>NC_000023.11:32738915-32889271 GCF_000001405.40 Homo sapiens | reverse complement strand
GTGGGAAATTATTCTACTGTACCCTATATCCTGCTGAAGTGCCTGGGTACTGGGTGGCTAGCTCATGTCCATTTGCTAAGACACATGCTCACGATTCTTGCCTGGGTCTGACATAACTTTGGAGTCTTGTTGCATTCCTGGGCTGGACTCTGGAATGGGACCCAATTACTTCTGCACCTGGATACCCCCAACCTTCTCTGTTGTGGTGGCGGTTCTTTCACCATCCCCTCCTCTCAGGAACACACTCTTGTTTCTACTTTACATTCTCCATCCAGTCCAGGAAAATAGTATCTAGGCTCAGAGACGGAGAAAATAGTGTCTATATTTCACATTTTTTTCCAAAAAAAAAAATTATAATTTTCCGTGCCTGGACTTGAGAATTTGAAAACTCCAAAATCCTCCAGGTTCAACCACATTGTTCCCAATTACAGGATTTTCTTATTAAAGTTGAATAGTGTTCCATTGTGTGTATATTCCACATTTTTGAATCCGTTCATCTGTTGATGGTTACTTAGGTTGATTCCATATCTTGTCTAATGTGAATACTGCCACAATAAACACGGGTGTGCAGATATCTACTTGATATACTGATGTCATTTCCTTAGGTATGTACCCAGTAGTGAGATTGCTGGATTGTATGGTAGTTCTATTTTTATTTTTTTTTGAAGAACTTCCTGCTGTTTTCCATAATGGCTGTACCTATTTATGTTCCCATTAAGGGTCCAAGGTTTCCCTCTTTTCCATATTCTCACCAACACTAGTTATCCTTTGTCTTTTTGAGAATAGCCATTCTGACAGGTGTGGGGTGATAGCATATTGTTTTAATTTGCAGTTACCTGACTAATGATAAGCATTTTGTCATATACCTGTTGTCCATTTGTTTCCCTTAAGACATGCTCGTTGAGACATGGACACGGGGAGGGGAACATGACAGACCGGAGCCTGTGGGGGTGGGGGCGTAGGGAGCAAGGGGAGGGAGAGCATTAGGACAAATACCTAATGCACACAGGACTTAAAACCTAGATGACGGGTTGATAGATGCAGCAAACCACCATGGCACATGTATACCTATGTAAGAAGCCTGCACGTTCTGCACATGTATCCCAGAACTTAAAAAAAATAAAAAATAAAAATTCAGTTCCTTAATCACAGTTGCCACTGTGATTTTACTTTGTCATATTTTAAAAGCTTTTTTATTTCAAAAAAAAAGTCTGTTGAGGTCCTTTGCCCATATTTAATTGGGTTGTTGTATTGCTATTGAGTTTAAGGTTTCTTATATATTTTTGGATATTAATCAGAGTGAAGGGACAACTCATGGAGCAGGAGAAAATATTTGTATACCATATACCTGAAAAGGGATTATTTCCTTGGCTGTGCAGAAGCTGTTTAGGTTGATGCAACTTCATTTGTCTATTTTTATTTTTGTTGCCTATGCTCTTGGGTTCATATCCAAAAAATCCTTGCCCAGACCAATGTCATAAGCTTTTAGTTGATGTTTTTTTTTTTTTTTTTTTTTTTTTTTTTTTGAGACAGTCTTGCTTTGTCACCCAGGCTGGAATGCAATGGTGCGGTCTAGGCTCACAGCAACCTCCACCTTCCGGGCTCCAGTGATTCTCCTGCCTCAGCCTCCTGAGTAGCTGGGACTACAGGCGCTCACCACAACGACCGGCTAATTTTTGTATTTTTAGTAGAGACGGGGTTTCGCCATGTTTGCCAGGCTGGTCTCAAACCCCTGACCTCATGATCTGCCCGCCTCAACCTCCCAAAGTACTGGGATTACAGGCATGAGCCACCTCTCATAGTCCATGTTTTCTTCTAGTAGTTTTAGTTTCAGGTTTTACCTGTAAGTCTTTAATCCATTTTGAGTCGATTCTTGTATATAACAGATAAGGGTCCAATTTTCTTTTTATTTATTTATTTTTTTTGAGATGGATTCTTGCTCTGTCATCCAGGCTGGAGTGCAGTGATGGGATCTCGGCTCACTGCAAGCTCCGCCTCCCGGGTTCACACCATTCTCCTGCCTCAGCCTCCCAAGTAGCTGGGACTACAGGCTCCTGTCAGCACGCCCGGCTAATTTTTTGTATTTTTAGTAGAGACGGGGTTTCACCGTGTTAGCCAGGATGGTCTCGATCTCCTGACCTCGTGATCTGCCCGCCTCAGCCTCCCAAAGTGCTGGGATTACAGGTGTGAGCCACCATGCCCAGCTGTAAGGGTCCAATTATTAATATTCCCAATTGAATGGAAGAAGTAAAAGGAAACAAAATTAACCATATTCTCACTTAAAGTCATTGTTATCATTTTGGCATATTTCATTGGGTTCCTTTTTACCCGAAATGAGGGTTTTCTGCTATTTATTTAGATGTGATCGTGCTATATTTATGACTTTTCACCCTTTTTTACTATCACATAAGTGATTTTAGGTTATTATAGACACACTTTAAATGTTCACATAATGACCACTTATTCTAAAGTTAGGCATTTAGTTTTTTATTTTTGTTGTTCTAAATAACCCAGTAGACCATTTTGTTTCCTTTTAGACAGCTTCCAGCGCATGAAATTATTAGGTCAAAGGATATTACCTTTTTTTTTGAGACGGAGTCTTGCTCTGTCGCCCAGGCTGGAGTGCAGTGGCGCGATCTCGGCTCACTGCAAGCTTCGCCTCCTGGGTTCACGCCATTCTCCTGCCTCAGCCTCCCGAGTAGCTGGGACCACAGGCGCCTGCCACCACGCCTGGCTAACTTTTTGTATTTTTAGTAGAGACGGGGTTTCACCGTGTTCGCCAGGATGGTCTCGATCTCCTGACCTTGTAATCTTCCCACCTCGGCCTCCCAAAGTGCTGGGATTACAGGCTTGAGCCACCGTGCCCAGCCAGGATATTAACATTTTTTAAAGGGTCTTTATATGTATCGCAAAAATACTTAGCAAAATTATTATTATTATTATTTTTTACCAGTTTACACTGCCCACCAAGAAGCTATAAGGACACCTAAATTGTCACATAAAACTGTGTATGGATAAATATCTCTATTTTATAAACCACTTGGTATAACCAAAATCCTGCTTTTGAGATATTAAATTTTGAAGCTAACATTCTTAGCATGTTTTTAAAATAATACTGACTTCATGAGCTAATACCCATAATGATAAAATGATTTTATATTCCAGGAAAGCTGCCATGTGGGATTGAATGTTTTATATATGATACACTTTTATCTACATATGTTGTTATACAGTCATTGGTACCTTTTTATTAGATGAATTTATTTCATATTCAGTTTCCACTGAATTGTATTCAGCTTGACTACAAATTAGTCAAGCAGAATAAGAATGTGAGTTTTATTGTGACTAATATATATTTGGAGTCTAGATTTGGAGAGACAAGGGGTGAGTAAAACTGTGTGCCTACTACCTGAAAGGAAAGGTTTTTTTTTTTTTTTTTTTTTTCCCCCTCAAGGGAAACAATTACGGAGACTGCCCAGGCATTTAATATTTTATTGAAATATTCTAAACCCTCAAATTTCGCTTCTACATTTTATGTGATGCATCAGAAAAACACTATTTTATTTGTTTTATAATTCTCCAATAGGGAAATTTCAACACATTGTAAGTTTCTTTATTTAACAACATCATCTAGCTTTTAATAACTGACTTTCATACACATTTTTAAAAGCAGGCTAATCGTTATAGCTTAATATATTTTTCATGAGATTTAGTGATAACATGATCACTTATACCAGTAGTTTATCTCCTGAATCATTTTAAAAAGTAATGTGCATGTTTTCTTTATATTTATATACAATTGGGAAGCTTAATATTTATGAAAATATGATTGACTTTTTTTTGTCATTTCTCTTCAAAGCCTTAGGCTTTGCAGTTATCAGTAGTGCAGTTCCAAGATGCAAAGTCATAAACTTACCTTTCATTCTCTTTAGTAGGCTTAATATTTTGAATCTAGCCATAGGAAGCAGCCTGAAACCTCTAATCGAAATCAAAGATAACACCACAGGGGTACAATATCTCTAATTTGTCTTGGAATGATGCGGTAGCTTCCCTTGACTGCTGTGATTAAATTCATTCTGGTTTGTTCAGTTAATGAGATTAGCACATCTTAACCCATAGGAAATATTGTCTTTATGGGCCTATGACTCTGAACAGATTAGCATCATGATCAGAAAAATAATTTTTAATAAATGATTACGTGTGAGTGGTGCTAGGCTAGGATCCCTACAAATCTGGCAAGAGCATATTCCTTGACCTTCAGCATTATATGACTTTATAAGACACAGCATTTTCTCAGGCATGGGTATAAATACAGTTAAATATGTACTATAAAACTAAAGAACAGCCTGAAATTTAAGAACTACAAGAATTTGTGCTTGTCATTAAGCTGGAGATAAAGTTAACATCCTGAGAAGATGTAAAGGCGACAGTGATACACTTCTCCTTGTTTGGTAGGATCATTTCCACACTTGTCTGTACTTGGAATTGTAAGGTGATGAGTCCCTTAATGATTTCTTATTGCAAGTTTGAACCTAGTGTATTTCATGGTAATAGACTAAGGGGAATGAGTATATGAAATGAGTTCCAGTGTATTGATGAAACTTAGAGTTGCGTAGAGTGGAGCATAGCTTAGTAGAAACTTGAGCAAGTTACTGTAGCACATGGTCCTGGTTCCAATTCCAGCAACATCTGTTAGTTTTAGGACTTGGTGCAACTTGTTCAAATTTTCTGTCAGACTCTCCATTGGTTTAAAAAATAAAATTCAAAATATTGACAAATATTGCCTTCCTGAATTTTTTGGTGAATATTAAGTTAGATGATGTATATAAAGTGCCTGGCCCATAGTAAGGGCTCAATAAAAGTAGCTGTTGGTACCGCTTTTAACTAATTGTTGTTAAATTGATTGGTTAATTATATATTTCCCTGCCACTTAACTGTCACTCAACAGCTTTTCCTCATTTCCTGCCTACCTGATTGGAAATCATTATGTTGAATATGTCTAGAATTATCACTGGGCCTGCTGTATTCCCTGGGTGGTATGTTTGTATAGGTTGAACCACTAAAGAAAATCTTTTCGGATGAGTTACTTTCCTATGTCACCCTACTATTTCCTAGTGGGAACTTTAAGTTCCTTCAGTCTGGGGTCAAGACTAGTCTTAGTATAGGGGACATTGGGAATATTGAGGATGGCATGTTTAAGTAACATTGTATGTATTGGTCAAGAAAAAACAGGCAAGGGATAGAGTACATCAAAACCAGAAAACCTATGTACTTACCTTTCCATTTCTGTCTTTATTAGATATGTTGAGTTTATTTCAAGTGCCTCTATAGAACATCTACAGAACATTAATATTAAGAATATCATGAAAAGGGATACATTTTTAAGAGCCTAAATTTTGGATAAAATGGAAGTCATTTTCTTTTTTTTTTTTTTTTTTTTTTTTTTTTGAAACAGAGTCTTGCTCTGTCACCCAGGCTGGAGTGCAGTGGCATGATCTCGGCTCACTGCAACCTCTGCCTCCCGGGTTCACGCCATTCTCCTGCCTCAGCCTCCCAAGTAGCTGGGACTACAGGTGCCCGCCACCATGCCCGGCTAATTTTTTGTATTTTTAGTAGAGACGGGGTTTCACCGTGTTAGCCAGGGTGGTCTCGAACTCCTGACCTCGTGATCCACCTGGCTCGGCCTCCCAAAGTGCGGGGATTACAGGCGTGAGCCACCGCGCCTGGCCATGGAAGCCATTTTCTAACAACAAATTTAATTTGTGAAAAGCTGGTAGCATGTTAACTCTAGAATGACAATTTTTTAAAAGGAAAATTCCAAAGTTAAAGGGAAAAAATATTGGGGTAGTGCCAGCTAGTATCAGGATTTATACTTTAAAAATGCATAAGAAAGAAGCAATTACCAGTGTCCAAATAAGAAATGAGAGTAATAGAAAACTCAGATTTCATTGTATTATAAATTTAATAAATAAGTTACACAATTGCCGTTCAGTGCCTGAAATTGATTTTTCTTTTTTTGAGGTCAAACTTCAACCATGTATATGAAATGTAAGAGCAACTTTCTAAGCAGAATTACCCTTTCTGATTTCCTTGGGTTCCTTTTGGTTCTTTAATCTGTATGACTAAGAGTGTGGATTGGCTGACATTATGAGATGCAATTAATTTACATGCTTAAGTTAGGACTATACCATCCTGTTTCCATCCATTCTTGATCACAAGCATATTACAAATGCTGTGCTGGATTATCTTTACTATTAAGACATACTGCAGAAAGCCCTGCAGGTAAAGAAAACAATCTAGGGCTTACCTTAGAGGCAGGAAGAATTGCATGTTAAGAAAGCTGCATACACTCTGGCTTTTTGCTCTTTGAGTTTAGCTCAATGTCTTCCTAAACTTTGGTGTGCAGGAGGTGACTACGCAGTATTTAAAATCTAATCCATATTATGTGTATAGTATGGATGGTATAGCAATTTTCCAGGTGGATTTTTGACAATATTTTATTTTTTACTATTCATGTTGACTTTGAAAAATAACTACAGGGCTAGATTTGATTCAACTGTCCATGGTTAGAATTTTTAAAAAAGTTTTTGACTCTAATACAACTGAGTTCCATCTACAGAAAGAATGCACATATGGATACGGCTGTCCAGAAGATCAAATATCCTTGTACTGAAGTATATCTATATTTAGTCATTATTTTATAAAAGTAGTAGAAAACAATAGTGGAATATAATATGTGGTCTTTGGAAGAATGAGAAATCATCCTTACCCATTAAACACAGACCCAACACTTAATGTATTTCCATTTTGATAGTGACAAGTTTTGGGTTTGGGATGATGTGTCAGCCAGGGTCAGTTAACAGACAGAAACCACTTGAGTGACTGTAGCAGAAAATAATGTAACAAGAGGAATTGGGATCTAGGTATTGAAAAATTGACAAAGAGAAGAGGTAGCAAGTGCACAAAGTAGCTACCGCTCCTAGGGCTGGGAAGACAAAAGGTTAGAATTACTAACACTTAGAACCCTTGAGGAAGGACTCTACAAAGCTGAGCTCAGGTCTGAGTAGGGGGCTGCTACGTGGCTGGTGCTACCCTCTCTGGGATAGCAGGAAGGGCCCAATGGGACTGAGGCCCGGACCTCTGCCAGCCAGGTGGTGCTGGTATTTCTGCAGCAGGGGCGATGAAGCTGATTCTCTAAGCTTTTGAAAAACAAAACACAAGCTAAATTGAATAGCTTGTTACTAAAAAGTGCTGCTGCAGGCATGAAGAAGCACGTCTAGGGAACTGCTAATAAGGACAGTAAGTGCATGGGAAGCTAGTGTGAATGAGTAAATCCTTTGTCCCTCCTCCAGGCTTGCAGTCTCCCTCTATTGCTCCCTACCTTTAGATTCTGAGAGTCAGTCAGTAAAGCCAGAAGTACGGTTTGCAGAGTCTTTGCCTCAGCGTTGCAAAGTAGGGTTTAGAAGGGTGTGTTGGTATGGCTCTGAGGAAGATAAAATCTCTAACCAGCATGAGTGCTAATATGTCTAATAAGATATATGGAAAATAATTATTAAGTATTTGACTGAATTTCAAGGATTAAAAAGCAATACTTAAGGCAACAAAAACATCTTATATTTCCATTAAAGCATAATTTTTCTTACAGCTCCTTCACATTGGCAAAATTAGTTTGCCCTCTTGAATTTTTCAAAGATGTGAATTATGGCAAGTAATAATTGCTGCCTACTATTGAATATCTGGATGTTGTAGAACTGCCATTGTATCATATTTAACTTATTTTTGAGAGTGTTAGATTTCCTCTGATAGAAGATATTTTTTACTTTTCCAAGATTAATAGTAGAAATATTGAACATCAAATCATTTTACAGATAATACTGTCCTAACATTGCGTAAGTATACAATTATTCATAGACTCAGAAATCATAATTGTCTTCACAGAAAGAAACCAGTTCAGAATACTTTAAGAACTATTTGGAATGTTAGATTTAAAATATTCTGTAGCCAAGGTAAAGCAAGTTAGCTAAAATTCCTTTTGTTTCTATTGTTTTTAGAACTAGCTTCAAAGAGAAAGAATTTGATAAATACTTAGTGTCCAATAGGCTCTTTCATACAGTTCAAAGATGTAGACTGACACTGGCATCTACAGTTCCTAGCTGTACTTACTCTGGTATTTTTTGCCAGCTGCCTTCGTGGTTTCTGCTTCATACCTGTTTGTATTCATAAATAACTCAATCTAAGATTTTTAGCTTTTTAAAAAGAATTGCATACAATCATCATCAGATTACAGGTTTGAAAGAAATCTTAGTTTTTTTCTTTTTCTTTTTTTTGAGATGGAGTTTTGCTGTCGTTGCCCAGGCTGGAGTGCGATGGCGCAATATCGGCTCACCGCAACCTCCGCCTTCTGGGTTCAAGCGATTCTCCTGCCTCAGCCTCCTGAGTAGCTGGGATTACAGGCATGCGTCACCACACCTGGCTAATTTTGTATTTGTAGTAGAGATGAGGTTTCTCCATGTTGGTCAGGCTGGTCTCGAACTCCCGACCTCAGGTGGTCTTCCCACCTCGGCCGTCTAAAGTGCTGGGATTACAGGCGTGAGCCACTGCGCCTAGCCCAGAAATCTTAGTCTTTTTAACTCAGTTTTGAGATTCTGCCATATACCTGGCACTGTAGTTAAGAGATGGCATATAAATGGGAAAAATAGGTATTTCAAAAGCAATCAAAAGCAATTACAAGACTATATAGTATGTCCTACCACGGGGGTATGCATGGGAGCAGAAGGAAGAAGAGACGAATTTTGCTTGGCTAGGGTTGTATTGGGGTTGAAATTGATATCAACTATAGACTAGAAACTTAAAGGGATTTTCATGCCAACAAGAGTACAACAGGCCATTCAAGTCCATCTCTTCCAAACATTGATTAAACATCTTTTATAGGCAGACAATCAGTTAGTTGCTAAGAAGACTAAGCTGAAAAAGGCTTTTTTTTTTTTGGCCCTGTTGGAGCTTTCAGCCTATTGGCTGATTAAAAAAAAAAAAAAATGCTGAGGAGTATGAAGTCACAAACCAATTGAGTTCAGGAACCAGTAAGTAGTTTGACATGACCGTAATGGAGGTTTTGGGATATGGGCAATTGGCAAAAAATTGAAAAGGATGCGGGAAAGGTGGACTGGGGATACAATGTGGATGGATGATTCCTTGCTCAATTGAGATGAATGTGTTCAAAAAAACCAGGAAGTTTTTTTTTATGTTTTGCATATTAGAAAGTTACATTTGGTGGCTATATGCAGAATCGTGTATGGGGAGAGTACAGGTGTGGAGGTCACTCATGAGGCTAATGTCTATTCAAATGGGAGAAGAGGAAGGTCTGAAAGGCAATCACTATTGGAATACATGCAAGTACATCTAGCATTGTTCTGTCTTTCTGAAGATGTGGAAATGAAGCTCTCTCAGAATTAAATGACAACATGCCATGGCTGTTTGTTAGAGGGAATGGAAGTAGAGATTGAAGGTCTTGATTTCCAGCTGATCATCCTTTTTATGGTACCATACCACTCACCCAGCCTGTTGAACTGGAAAAGATTATGAACATCAGGCATTAACCTACCAAAGTAAAGCAAAACAAAAACGCTGAACTTCTCCATATTTTTAAAAATATGTGACACATATATGTTTATTGGAAATTAAAATACAGTAAAGGCTCTTTAACTGTCATTCAATAAATATTTTTTGAATGAACGACGATCACTTGTCAATAACTGGTATTAAAAAAGACAAATATTAATGGTGATCTTTATTCAATAATTTCATAAAATGGGAACAAAGTGGTAATTTGCCAGTAGGATGAGGAGGGCATAGCAGAGGTTGTCTAACCTTTTGGCAAGGGCAAAGTCAAACTGGTGAATAAGCAACACAAGCTGTGATGAGAGTCATGTGCCATATGTAAATGGTGACTCTTTCTTCCTCCAATGCTGTTTATCACCACAGGCTTCCCAGCGGCCCAAGAACAGTCTGCCGCAGTCACTGGCATTAATAAATGCCATCTCTACCTGAATGCCCTTCTTTTCAAATTTTTACCAAAAGGAAGATAGTAGACTTTCAGTTTTCCTTCTGGCTGTGAGAGGCATAGGGAGAATAACGGTAACAGATGCAGGAATAAAAAGGCTTGATACACATGGATATTATGTCATGAGGGATTCAGGAGTTTATATTAATATACAAATATTAGTTGTTTTTTTTTTGTTTGTTTTTTGTTTTTTGTTTTTTTTTTGAGACGTAGTCTTGGTCTGTCGCCTAGGCTAGAGTGCAGTGGTGCTGTCTCAACTCAATGCAACCTCCGCCTCCCGGGTTCAAGCAACTCTCCTGCCTCAGCCTCCCCAGTAGCTGGGATTACAGGTACCTGCCACTGTGCCCGGCTAATTTTTGTGTTTTTAATAGAGATGGGGTTTCTCCATCTCGGTCAGGCTGGTCTCGAACTCCTGACCTCGTGATCCACCTGCCTCAGCCTCCCAAAGTGTTGGGCTTACAGGCATGAGCCATTGCACCTGGCCCCAATATTACGATTTATCCTGCCCTACCTCACCACTCTTTTCATGATTAGAGATGGAAAAATTTGATATTATTTAAAAATCAGTAAGATTCTATCTAATCAAACCATTGGCAGTATAATTCACAACTTTTTTAGAGATTTTCTAAAGTAATACAGATACTGTAGTATTGTAGTTTTGTAGTATAGCTACAAGAAAATCATACTGTGCTCTGAAATGCTATCTTAGTAACATATTGTGTTAATGGATTATAATGGTAATCAAAACCTCCATAGAGCTACAGGTTTGAACTCTAACATTCTGTCGAAGTTAAAGATTAATCAGTTTAACACCATATTATTTTTATTATTTTTGAGACGTAGTCTCACTCTGTCGCCCAGGCTGGGGTGCAGTGGAGCAATCTCGGCTCACTGCAAGCTCCGCCTCCCAGGTTCATGCCATTCTCCTGCCTTAGCCTCCCGAGTAGCTGGGACTACAGGCGCCCGCCACTACACCCGGCTAATTTTTGTCTTTTTATTAGAGAGAGATGGGGTTTCACCGTGTTAGCCAGGATGGTCTTGATCTCCTGACCTCGTGATCCGCCCTCCTCGGCCTCCCAAAGTGCTGGGATTACAGGCGTGAGCCACCGCGCCCGGCCCATTCCTAGTATTTTCAAATAGAAATCTGATGCCTTTATTACTGTAATTAGAGGAATGCTTATGTTTCAGGTTGGGTTTTGGTAAAGCCCATGTGGAGAGGAGAATTTGCATGAAAGTAGTTTAATTAAGGAAATGTTCTCAGGGATGGCAAGTAGGTGAGCAAGAGAAGTAGAATAGGAATGGGGAAGAAATCATGCAAGGAGCAATCGCAGGCAAAGTGCCAGCCTCAGTCTGGTTCTGCAGGAAAACCTGGGCCTAAACTATGCTTCAGCTTGTTGCAACTTGATACAGAAGGAGCTGGGCTTTTGTATTCCAGTAGTCACCAGTCATTGCCTTAAGACTACCCTAAGGTGACATAAACACCAAGGCACTTCCGGATCTCTGTTTTTGTTGGCAAAGCAGCTTTACTAGCCTGAAGACAGTCATCTAAAGAGATGTAGATACAGAAGTTTTGAGAAGCAAAGACCACAAAAGCCAAGGAGGTGGGCACGCAGAAGTGTTAATGGAATCTTAGTGGATCTGGATAAAACACGATTTTTTGGCTATAACCTCTAAAGGGCTAACTTTCAGAAGATTACGTGGACCCAATTAAGCACTTACCTGAATAATTTTGAAACATCTCTAATTGTACTATAGCTAGAGTTAAAAGAAAAAATATTTTCTAATATAAACAAAAAGTTCAGAATTATAGCATTATTAAAGAAGCTTTTTTCAAATGTTAGCATTCCTGCTTCTTGACTTTACATTTTTCCGGAACAAAATAGTTTTCCAAAGAGTATACTTAATGACTTGTGCAGATGAATTCTAAATGATAACCACAGGGCTCTTGGACAAGGGATCATTTAAATTTTGAGTTCTTGTCAGTCAGACATATCAATCCATATACATTTCCCCAACCAGGGTGTCAGAAGTGTAGTCAAGTGAGTTTTGTAATGATACTTCTTTGTTTACATCTAGCTGCAGAAACCTCTTAAGACTGATTCTGCATCAGAATAATTGCTAGAGGGAAAAGGGAAGCTGTGATTATGAAATAACACTGTTATCCACTGGCACCCCTTTGTGTCTATCTTAGTTGAAGCTTTGAGGCACTTCTGTGTCTATTATTTGATTTTAATTGGCAATGGTATTGATTATAAATCATTTGACAGAATATAATTTTTATCTTAAAGTTTAAATGTACCTAGAGGCTACAAAGATTCCTGCGTTCAATGAAAACATTAAAGTAATAGTGTAAGTAGTTTAAATGTGCCCCATTTGGCACAGATTAGTGTCACCTATGGTACAACTCAGTCAAAAAGTGAATGTAGCTGAAAACTGAAACTGTTCAACAGCTCCAAATTTAAGAAACACGGAACATTCACTATGTGCAATAGACAATGCTAGTTTTAGTAGGGGATTAAAAAAAAATATCTTTCAGCCAGGGGCTCATAAAGTAGTGAGGAAACCTACAACAACTTCAAGTCAGATAATGACAATATGTCATTAAGGGACATGAACAAATGACCGAGAGACCGCAAGATCAGGAGGGACTTTTTTTGGAGTTGGTTATAAAGGAATGGCAAGGCACATGGGAATCAAGAATTCATTCAAACAGAGCCTTGAAGAAAGGTGTTGGTGGAGTGGAAGGCTAGAACACAAAAATACAATCTACAGAATAAGAAAGCACTAGGGGGCAACTGTGGTTGGAGTACTTACAAGAACGGTTTAGGAAAATAACTAGTTGTACTACATAGACTAAATTGGATAACTGTCAAGATTTGAGGATTATAGGTGAAGAAACCATTTTAGAGTTTATTATAACTGACATTTTGTATCTAGAGACAACAGGGATATCAGTATTGATGTAATTAAAGGATGTGGCAAGAATGAGGTGAAAATAACTTATGTCTTAGGGCTGAAAAATTGAGAGGATGGTGGTATCATTGGATATGGTTAGAAATAGAAATAAGCAAAACTATGATGGGGAAGTGATTTGTATTTGGGATATATTGTCTTTGATGTATTGATGGGATATCCAATAATCTCCGGAAAATATGTCTGGATCTGAGGAGGGAAATCAGTGTGTGTTTGATAGGTGTAGCAGTGAGAAAGTATCATAGGCAAGATACCACAACTAAAGAAAATGGTTTGGGGGTAATCAATATGGAGTTTAAGCCATGGGGGCAGATGATACGGCAAAAGGATATTATACACAGTTAAAAAGGAACCCAAAACCAAGTCTTGGAGAATTCACATTTAAATACGTGCAGATATAGAGAAGCCAGCAAAGAAGTGTTAGGAGAAGTCACAGGAAACTGTAAAGTGTCTGGTCACAGAAGCAGCAAGAAAAACAGTTTTTAAGGAGGTGACTACATTGACCAAAGGCAGTGATTGAATTGAAATTTACTTGGGGTCTGAGAAAAGACCATTCGGTTTTCTGGTTGCTTTGACTAATTTTAAAGTAACAATTTCAGTGGAGTAGTAGACCATAACCTATAAATGCATTGATGTATTTATTTATTCATTCACTCACTAATTCACTTATCCAATAGTCATTCATTTATTCTTCGGTGCTTACAACCGGGCCTGGCACTGGATTAAAGTGAAATTAGAAGTAGATAAACTGGTAGAGATAGCCAAAACATATCTCCCTACAGAAGGGAAAAGAGCAGAAAATTATCATGGAAACACTTTGCATAGAGTTTCTCACAGCAGGTTGAAAGTATCCTAAGGTTATAGCAGTGTAGGCTGGAGGAAAAGGAGAAAATACAGACTAGGCAGGACAGGCACTGGGGAAATTCAGGTGTAACTAAGAAGAGACTGAGTGCTG
Organism: Homo sapiens; assembly: GCF_000001405.40. NCBI lineage: Eukaryota > Metazoa > Chordata > Mammalia > Primates > Hominidae > Homo > Homo sapiens. Next base: position 32,875,283 of record NC_000023.11, on the reverse strand, counting down.
GGAGACAGGGTGTAATCTGTTAAATAGAAACATAGGCAATAGTAAATCAGGGAACCAGAAAGAGTTCAAGAGTCGATGAAGAGGGACATGTATCAAGGTCTCGATCGAGAGGGCTGTGATTCAAGGCAGAGCCTCCATTCCAGAGGGAGCTTAGGATACTCTTCTGGTTTTCTATTACTATGTAACAAAACACCCCAAGTACAGTGGCTTAAAATAACATCTCTTTTATCTTTTTATCTGATTTTGTGAATCAGGAATTCAGCCGTGTTCAGCTTATTGATTTTTCTACTCTGTGTGGTGTCAGTTGACATCACTTGGCAGAATTCAGCTAGTGGATGTGCTGGTCTGGAGGGTTCAAGACAGATTCACTTAATGCTTAATGCCATTGTGAGAATGGCTGAAAGGCTCAGTTCAGCAGGGACTGTCAACCAGAGGACTTGTAGATGTCTTCTACAGCATGGTGGTTTCAGGGTAGTCAGTTTTTATGCATGGCATCTTAGGGCTCCCAGAGTGAGTATTCTAAGAAACCCATAAAGAGGCTAAAAGTTACTAATAATGATCTAATCTTGGAAGACCTATAACATCATATTCGTTGCATTCTACTTGGCAGACAAGTTGCTAAGACAAATCCGAGCTTTAAGGGGAGAATTAGATGCTGCCTCTTGATGAAAGAAGTGTCAAATAATTTTGTGGCCATTTCTAGTCCATCATAACTGCTGTAAATTTCCTCCTCCTACCATGGTATTGAGTGATGCATATCTCACAGGAGGAGAGTGTGTCAGTGACTCTAGCTGAGAAGGGCAGAAGAAAGAAGATCCTTGCACAAACAAGCCAGGCGAGAGAGAAAACTGGCAGTTTTTAGGAAAGAAAAGAGATGCATCTTGGCAGGAAACAATTGATGGTAGCCAGAGTTCAAGGCTCATGCTGACCGTTCATTCTTCTACATTTTCTAAGCTCAATCTTTGTATCAATAGAGAATATCAGAAAACTTCCTTGGGGAATCTTACTTTGGCTCTCTGTAAAAATGAACTTGTCGCAATGTTCTACCCTCAACAATGGGTGAACACAGATTTAAGAAAAAGACATGAAAAGCTTATCTGTTCTTTTGTGAAAGTGCCAAACACTTTCTGTTAAGGTTTTCATTGTTGTTAAAGTGAAAATTTGGTATGACAGCTGCTGTGAGGGATAGACTTAAGGCCTTGCAACTCAAATTATGGTCTGCAATCTAGGAGCACCAGTTGAGGTTTTGTTAGAAATGTACATTTTCAGGCGCTATCCTAGACCTCACACGAGTCTGCACTTGACTAACATCTTCAGAGGTTTCATGTGCAAACAAATGTTGAGAAACTCTGATCTAAGGGATGTTTCATTATTCAGATCATTGCAAAGGACTTGTTAGGTTCCTGTTCTTGGTCTTGTCCCTGTGGACTTCAGATTGAAAATCTTACCCTTAGCTTAGGCTAAGATAAAATTCCTTTCCTTTTATTTGATGGCAATTATACATAACATGTCATTACTTGATTTTTATTCGACTTTGGAGAAGCAAAGGGTTTTGGCTAATTTTTAGTAACTATTCTTAGCTTTTACAATGTTATCATTTTATGTTTGCATTTTTTCCTAGCCTTATTTAGATTCTAGACACAGAATAGGGGACTGTGAGTGCTGAGAGTATCCTTAGAGAATAACCACTGTAACCTACTTCATTTTCATATAAGAAATGAATGCTCAGAAATGTGCCTTGATGTACTCATGGCTACTTAATCAGTGGTAAAGCTGAGCCTAGAATTATTTCCTCAAAATTGTAGTCCTCTGTACACTTGGATCAGAATTAACAGGCAATGCATGTCATAACGGGCTCATCCAGGTGGTTCTAATATATACTAAAGTCTGAGAAACAGGCCTGAGTGTAGCTTCAATGTCTGCTCTCTCACTCTAATGCCTACTGCCTGCCATATCTAGATGCCTGTGTGTATGTGAACGAGGAGGGAAGAGAATTAAATCCTAGAGATGTTGGTAGCCAATTATCTCAAAAGCACATATTTAGGGGTCAGCTTTTAAAAGGAGGAGGGGGGCTTATTCCCCTGACATTTGAGCAAAGCAGGAAAGGGTCGGTGATGAAATGCCATGTGTCCTGAGGACCTACAGGCCTGGGTTATATGACCACTTCAGGAATTGCATAGCAATCAAAAAGGGAACTAAAAGAATCGGAGGCTGGGTAAAATCAGGACTAACAATTGATAAAGCAATTATGATCAACAGTGAGTGAGAGAAGGAGATTTACCTGATGGTGAGGTGGTAGCCACCACTAAGATTAGTTTAAATAAGATTAGCCACCACTAAGAGTTTTAAAATGAATGCATGAGGCACTGGAGTCTTCCATTGCTTCTCTTGCCCTCCTTGATGTCTTCTGACAGGAGCCATAGAGATCTTTATAAAACACAAACTAGATCATATCTCTCCTACCCAAAGCCTGTAAAAGCATCTCTATTACATTTAGTTTAACATCTCTACTGTGGCTTACCCCTTATCCTTCTTTGCCCACTAACTTCATTTAGCATCCACTTCCCCTACTTCCCTTTGTGCATCTTGTGCCTGCTATCTGTAATTCTTCCCTTTTTATAAAATCTCCTTTTTAAGATCATACCTTGAATTGTATCTCTTCAGAAAGGGCTTCCTATAGCTTAGCCTTAAAATTCTTTTTCAGTTGACTTTATTTCTACCTTAGCATGTAAAATGTTGTCATCTCTTATTTGTTGTTCATCTTCTTGAGACAGTAAGCTCCAGAAATGCAGAAACTAAATCATTATTCAATCTAACCTCATGTGATATCTGTCACATTGTAGATAATACTTGAATTTTAAAAAGGGGACAGAAGTTTCAAGAACAGTATACTGTGGTTTAAGTGAGCAATTCACTGTGTGTGATCCATGGGGTAGGATGGTTCGAGGTAGGTGAGAAAGCATGAACTGGCCATGAACATGGACGCAAATTGATCAAAGTCATTGCAGCTTAGCAGGTCAAAAAGCTGTGAGGTCAGAGCATCAGTTAAAATGTTCAATGGTAGTTGGTCATGATGGCATTAGCAACCTTTAAATTTAAAGGGACTTAAGTCACATCCAGAAATCGGGGATGACAAGCCTATAGTCATCCTCTCTTGAAGTCTTCTGCTGATACAAGTAATCATTCAGTCTGTTGGTCTCTATCCCCATGTCACCACCAACGATGACTGGGATCCAGTCAAGCCCTTGGATATCATGTCCTCTCTCGTGTCCTTTTCATACCAATTTAATCATGCCTGGAGTGCCCAGAAGCATACTTTCAGTCTCGCCTGCTTTGACACCTGACTCATTCATGCCTTAACCTACTGTGCTAGTGTTATGATGGGGAGGGAGGGGGTGACTGAGTGGATTTGACCTCCCAAACCATATTCTAGCAAGCAAGGTACATCTTAACTCTGGAATTCTTCTAAACCTATATAGGGTTTCTGAAACTTAGTCTCAGAGTGGGAGTGGAATGATACAGTACTTTGTCAGAAGCTCATAACAACGACTGTGTCTTACCATAATCCATTACAATACTGTTCTTGTTCCAGTTGAACAGCTGGAAGTTGAAAAACATTTCCTTTGGAATGAGTCAAACTGTATCTTACACAATCTTCCCAGCTCTTATTTACGAGATAGATAATGTCATTGGTGCTCAATATACTAAGGATTTTTCAATGCAGGGCTCTAATCTTATCAATAGATTCCAGGGAATTACTGAGAAACACATTATTTGATCCTTGATGTCTCTTTCCTTGTATTTTTATAGTAGCACGCTTGAGGAAGTACACATATATAGCTTCCAAGAATGAGGGAAGGCATCAGTTAATATGTTAAAATAGAAACCTCCCACTTGATCTTAAGTATGGGGAGGGCGGGGGAAGGAGACAAGCCTTAAGCCTGTTTACCATTGCAGGTAAACAAACATGAAGATCAAATTCTAAGTAAGGAGAGTTTGTTATGGAATAGCTGAGACTGAGGGCATAAAGACAACCATTCAAATTATTCTAGGGTTTCAGAAGACACTGAAGAAAGAATAGGGAGATGAACTGTTGGTGAAGCAGAGAGGAAAAATAGACCAAGATTAAGAGAAAAAAAACACGGGAAAAGATTGCAGGTTGGAGGAGGGTGGGTCTATCCAAGGCTGAGGTCGAAGCTTACGGCAAGGATGCAGGGGAAGAATGTTTTGTTAATGGTAAATAGATTGCAAAAATTCTGTAGTTTGCCTGTTCATTCTGATGATGGGTTTTGTGGTTTTTTTTTTTTTTTTTTTTTTTTTTTTTTGCTGTACAGAAGCCTTTTAGTTCTATCTCAGTTGTTAATTTTTAGTTTTGTTGCAATTGACTGATGTTTTTGTCAGGAAATCAAAATCTTTGCCTGTGCATATATCCTGAATGGTATTGCTTAGATTTTCTTACAGGGTTTTTATAGTTAGTGGGTTTTGTGTTTAAGTCTTTAATCCATCTTGAGTTAATTTTTGTATAAGGTGTAAGGAAGGTGTCCAGTTTCAGTTTTCTGAATATGGCTAGCCAGTCTTCCCAGCACCATTTATTAAATAGGGAATCCTTTCCCCATTGCTTGTTTTTGTCAGGTTTGTCAAACATCAGTTGGTTGGGTATTAGATGTGTGATCTTATTTCCAAGATGTTGGTTCTGTTCCATTGGTCTATGTGTCTGTTTTTCTACCAGTACCATGATGTTTTGGGTAGTATAGTCTGAAGTCAGGTAGCATTAGGCTTCTAGCTTTGTTATTTTTGCTTAGGATTGTCTTGGCTATATGGGCTCCTTTTTGGTTCTGTATGAATTTTAAAACAGTTTTCTTTTTTTCTAATTCTGTGAATAATGTCAATGGTAGATAAATGGGAATAGCATTGAATCTATAAATTATACAGTATGGCCATTTTCACAGTATTGATTCTATCCATGAGCATGGAATGTTCTTCCATTTGTTTGTGTCCTCTTAGTTCCTTGAGCAGTGGTTTGTAGCTCTCCTTGAAGAGGTGGTGCACTTAGCCTGTTAGCTGTATTCCTACTTACTTTATTCTCTTTGTAGCCATTGTAAATGGGAGTTCATACATGATTTGGCTCTCTGTCTATTGTTGTAGGAATGCTTGTGATTTTTACACATTGATTTTTGTATCCTGAGACTTTGCTGAATTTGCTTGCCAGCTTAAGGAGATTTTGGGGTGAGACGATGGAGTTTTCTAGATACACAGAAGAGACAGTTTGACTTCCTCTCTTCCTATTTATCCTTGATTTCTTTCTCTTGCCTGATTGCCCTGGCCAGAAATTCCAATACAGTGTTGAATAGGAATGGTAAGAGAGGGCATCCTTGTCTTGTGCTGGTTTTCAAGGGTTTGTCATACCAAAACCTACAGCCAGTTTTTGCCCATCTAGTATGATATTGGCTGTAGGTTTGTCATAAATAGCTCTTATTTAGAGACATGTTCCATCAATACCTAATCTACTGAAGGTTTTTAACATGAAAGGATGTTGAATTTTATCAAGACTTTTCTGCGTCTATTCATTCCTTTGCATTCTTTTTTCTCTAATCTTGTCTGCTGGTGTTATTTCAGCAAGATAATCTTCAAGCTCTGAAATTCATTCTTCTGCTTGGTCTATTTGGTTATTGATACTTGCGGTAGCATTGTGAAGTTCTTGTGTTTTTTCAGCTCCCTTGGGTCATTTATGTTACTCTCTAGACTGATAATTCTTGTTAACAGCTCCTGTAATGTTTTATCATGGCTCTTAACTTCTTTGCATTGGGTTAGACCATGCTCCTTTAGCTCAGTAAAGTTCGTTATTACTCATCTTCTGAAGCCTACTTCTGTCAATTCAGCCGTCTCAGCCTCTGTCCACTTCTGTGCCCTTGCTGGAGAGGAGTTGCAATCACTTGCAGGAGAAGAGGCACTCTGGCTTTTTGAGTTTTCAGTGTTTTTGTTTTTTGATTCTCATCTTCATGAGTTTGTCTAGTTTCAATCTTGGAGGCTGCTGACCTTTGGATGGGGTTTTAATTGGGATTTTTTTTGTTGATGCTGTTGTTGTTGCTTTCTGTTTGCTTTTTTAACAGGTCCCTCTTCTATAGGGCTGCTGCAGTTTGTTGGGGGTTCGCTCCAGACCCCATTCACCTGGGTCCCTTCTGCACTTGGAAATGTCACCTAAGGAGGCTGCAGAACAGCAAAGATGGCTGCCTGCTCCTTCCTCTAGTATCTCTGTCCCTGAGGGTCACTGACCAGATGCCAGCAGGAACCTTCCTGTATAAGGTGTCTAGCGACTGCTGTTGGGGGTGGGTCTCACCCAGTCAGGGTGCACGGGATCCAGGACCCACTTAAGGAAGCACTCTGGCTGCCCCTTGGTCGAGGGGGTTTGCTGTCCTGGGGGAATCCCACTTGTCTGGGCTTCCCGGATTCTTTAGAGCCAGCAGGGTAAAGACTAAGTCCGCTGATCTGCGGAGACCATGGCCACCCCTCCCCCTAGGGGCTCAGGTCCAGGGGAATCGGAGTTCTTTCCCTAAACCCCTGGCTGGAGTTACTGGAATTCCTGCAAGCAGGCCCTGCCCAGTGAGGAGGGATGGGTCAGAGTCCGGCCTAATGAGGCAATCTGGCCATTATTTGCCATAGCTGGTGTGCTGTACTGCAGGGAATTCCTCCTGGGTTCAAACTGTCCAGTCTCCCTCAAACCTGAAGGGGAAAAATGGTGGACTGGAGCTGCAGTGATGGCTGCTGCCCTCCCTACAGGAGCTCAGTCCTCTCAGTAAGCCGGTAGCCACCGTGATGGCTGCTGCCCCTCCCCACAGCAGCTCAGTTCTCTTAGGTGGCAGTTCTCTTAGATGCCGCCCCTCCCCGGGAGAGCTCAGTCATTTGCTGTAACAGGCAGCTGCAGTGATGATGGCCGCCCCCGCCCCCGGAAACTGAGCAGTCTTAAGGAGTCGTCTCCATCCGAGTGGCCTGCGAGAATCTGCACAGCTGTGTTTTGAGACCCAAGGCCCTGTTGGCATGGGCTCGCAAGTGGGATCTCCTGATCTGCGGGTTGCACAGATCTGTGGAAAAAGAAAGATTTCCCAGGCAGGGTAGGACAATCACTCACTACCTCCCTTGGCTGGGAGTGGGAGCTTCCCTTGTCGCGTTTGGCTCCCAGGTGGGCCATGGCACCACCCTGCTTTTCCTTGCGCTCTCATGCCAACTGCCTAGTCAGTCCCAGTGAGAGAACCTGGACACCTCTGTTGCTGGTGCAGGATTCACTCACGGTTTTGGTTCTTCTCAGTGGGAGCCTCTGACTGCAGCTGTTCCTAGTTGGTCATCTTGGCCTCTCTCCATATTTTTCCATTTTTGATGTAACTTTAAGTTTTTGCTTAAATTCCCATATTGGATATTACAGTCTAAAATCAAGAGAAGGTTAATGTGGACCGAGCCATTATTTAAATTTAAGGTTCAAAGAGGTAGGTCATTCAGCCAGGTGAGTGAGCACCAATCTTTTAAAAAGTTGGTTAACTATTTGATAGTTTCCACTTTTCAAGCTGATAATGATATTTTAAACCAAGGTCATTTCAATTTCCTTTTGGTTCAATATTTTTGGAAAGTTGCTACCTCTTTGAAATAAAAATATTTTGTACAGGATTGTTTACAATTAGCAAATGTTTGCTGATAAAGATGAATCACTGAATTAGGTACCTTTTGTAGTTATGTAATAAAGCTCTTGGTAAAAACTTCTATTTAAGCAGTTATAACTAATTTTTCCTATTGAAATGTCAGGTACCTATTAAGATTTTCTCATAGGGCAATTTTAAATTTTTTCTTTGAGCTTTGTAAGAAAAAAATTGTCAACTCTACTTTCCTTTGGCTCTTATTCAACTTTATTTTAAAATGCATTTTTCTAGAAACACTAACTAAAGGTGACAGTTTTAGTTCACAGGGAACTATTTTTGATTTACTATTTTTGTTTTGGAAATGTCTGAATAAACCACTGGAAATTATAGCTTATAATGAAGAAAACAAGATAAACACACTTTTTATCTAAAGTGACAGTAAAAATCTAGCAAATGGGAGAAAAATAAAGTCAACTTTTTTTTTTTTTTAACTTCTCCAATTGAACGTCAAATGAACATATTGGGCAAGGAATACAACCTTAGTTGCATTTACAATACAGTGGCTACAACAGAAGAGTTAAACACTAAGTCTTACGAAAGGTAGCTTTAGAAATATTTGAAAGTTGGCCGGGTACGGTGGTTCAGGCCTATAATCCCAGCACTTTGGGAGGCCGAGGTGGGCGGATCACGAGGTCAGGAGTTTGAGACTGGCCTGGCCAATGTGGTGAAACCCTGTTTCTACTAAAAAAATACAAAAATCAGCTGGGCGTGGTGGCATGCGCCTGTAATCCCAGCTACTTGGAAGGCTGAGGCAGGAGAATCGCTTGACACTGGGAGACGGAGGTTGCAGTGAGCTGAGACCACACCACTGCGCTGCAGGCTGGGCGAAAGAGTGAAACTCTGTCCCCCCCCCCCCACCCCCCCACCCCCCCCCAAAAAAAAGTGTGTGTATGTATATATTAAGGTTGACACTGTATTTAAAAAATTTCTATGAAACTGACAAAACTATTGCTTCGTTAATTCTTTTTTGCAAGATTGCATTGGAGGAACTGCATGGAATATAATGACTGTGTTCTTTTCTAATAGCACATGAGTCAGATCTCTAGAAACTGACTTTTGCCCATATTCAATTTCAGCAGTAAAATAATTTCTAGCTTGATATTTCTCATAAAAACTCCTAGGGCTCTTTTAAAAATATTTTATAAATATCTTTATAATGTGGCTTAATTTTTCAGACATCTTCTGTGTAGAAACAAATATTCATATGTATGTACACATATTAGCTATTGCTGTGTAATAAGCCACCTTGAAACTCAGTAGGTTAAAACAACCAACATACTATTTCAAATACATATGTTAGCCAGGAAGTTCTTCACCTTACTGCTAGGATTACTCGTGTGTCTCTAGTTAGCTGGGGGTTGGCTAAGGGGCTTTGCTGATCTCAGCTCAGCTCTGCGAAATGTCTGGCTGTCTGCTAGTCTGGGAAAACTTCATCTGGGACAACTAGGGCAACTTGACTCGGTTCCACTTGTCTCATCCTCCTGCTGTCTAGCTCTGATGTGCTCTTACGGTAAATGCAGAGGCATGAACAAGAGAGCAAAAGTGTTCAAGCCCTTTTGAGGTCTACATTTGGGAGAGGAAATGCCAGCACTTCAATTGCACTCTGTTGGTCAAAATGAGTCAAATGCCAACCCAGATTTAAGAAGCAGGGAAATAGATACCAACTTTTCATGAGAAGAACAGCAATGCTACATTGCAAAGGGTATGGATTCAGGAAAGGATGAAATACTAGGCCCAATTTTGTAGTTAACTTACCATTTACAGCAGTTGCTCCTGGACAGTATGGCTTCCTTGCCAAATATTTTTGCATGCAAATAATTGGTAAACAGTGCCAATATTGGTTTTTCCTAAACAATACTATGTTAAAGTGTCAGTCAAAATATGAATTAAAAAATGCAAAACATGGTAAGAGCTTCTCAAAATTAGTTATGTTTGAAAGGGTGAAAAGAAAAGACAAGCAGACATTTGCCTAAGCAGCTTTGGGTGGTTAATCAAGTCGGTACACTCGGATGGGGTGTCTTGTACCTCTCTAGTCTCATGTTCCATCCGTCCACTTACGTTCCAAGAAGTGGCTTATAGTTCCTTGAACAGTGCGTCTATTTCATCTGATCCTTAGCATGTGAAGTTTCCTCTGCTTGACTTTATCTTCCCTTTACACTTCTACCTGTTGATAACCTGTTCAACCTTGTATATTCTATTCAGGGATTTTCACTCTGTTGTTCTCTCCAGTGAAGATATCTTTTATTTGTGCCAGCACCATACTTACGACAAAAAAATCACTATTAATAGGATTATAACACCATGCTATAATTATATTCGCTTAAATGTATATTTCCTTCCTAGGCTATTACAAAAGCTGTGAAAACAGTGGCAGTATGTTTTTATCTTTTATCTTCCCATTTTTCTTAGGACAGTATGATGCATAATACTGGTTACATTTAGTTGAATGACTATCCCCCTCGTCTGACACATAAGGAAAATAAGCCAAGTGCTATGTAATTTATCAGTGTTCACACAACTGGCAAAATTTAAATTATAGAACTGTAATAAATAAAGGCCTATTTGCTTCCAGATACTATATTATTTAACTTACAACTACACCGAATCTCACATGGAAGACTTTCAAGTAAGGAACTGGCACTTTTCAGTGGATCTTAAGAAATGGCTACACTAAATGCCCTAGTTAAACTTTTTCTTCTGTTTACTACTACCTCATTTAATCCTTATCAACTTCAAGGATTATATTTCTTATATTTTGATTTATATAGCCTTAAGTTTTTGTTGAATGATATTTCTTCTTTAGTTAATATAAAAAGCCACATTTTTCAAATACATTAGAGTGAATTATACATTCGAACAATTTGCAGTGTGCTCTAAAATAGTATTTAGTAATTGAGTCTGCTGAGCACACTGGAGTCCTGAGGAGTTAATGAAACCCCCGATGTCAAATGATATAACAATAGGAATTTGGGACTTTGAAGAATTTTCCTAATGTATATATGTAGAATTATCACTGTTACTATCTTTCCATTACAAATGGGACCTACAATTAGGAGCAATTTTATTGGCAGGCTATATAACTGTATCTGACCTTTTGGAAATGATAGAAGAAAGAAAAGATATATTAAACTATCTTTGTAGAAAAGATGACGTAAAGGCTCAAGTAAAACTCACCTAACCCTTGCCCCTGAATGTGATGATAGTCAAGCCCAGCTTAAACAGCAGTTGCAAAGTAAAGAATGGTGTAGAGATCTGTAGATACACTGCCTAAGTCCAAATTAGTATCTAGCACTTACTTGCTGTGTGACCTTATTCAAGTTACTTATATTGTGTCTGTTTCATCAGTTGTAAAATGGGGGTGACTGTGAACATTAAAACAACCCACAAAAAGTACACAGAAGTAGCGCTGACATAAACCAGTCGATGTGTGTAACTCGCATCTTTCTGATACATGAGGTAGAGTCATATAAAAATTGTAATATTTGACAATATTTGACTTCAGAATTGGAAATTGCATAAAGTTGGACCACTAAAAGGAAATAAAGCATAGCAGTGACAGACGTTCTCCTTTAAATATTTTATCCTCTGTGACTTTTGACAGAAGATCTTCTTTAAATATTGTATCCTATGTGACATTTATCTTTTCTGTGTTTCCAATTTCTTTGATTTGGAACTTCCTGTAGACAGACCCTTACAGGCATGGAAGAAGAAAGAATGAATAAACCAAGGATGACTTCCCAGTAGGTGGAGGATGGGAATAATTAGGAAGAAGCTGTGTCTTGTCACCTATATTGTCCATACACAACTGCACCGTAGGGTAATTGAGAAATTATAAGAATGGTAATAAATACGTTTTACATTCATTAATTAAAGTCATCTTTGGATGCCCTTTGTCCATAATGTTTCCTCTACTAGATCTGAAGCCTAAATATCACTTTTCTTCTCTGCAATTTCCCTGGAACTGAGTACTCATAGATGTTTGTCTAGTGAGCCATTCCATTATGTCATGGTATATGTGTGTATTTGTGTGTGTGTGTGTGTGTGTGTGTGTGTGTGTGTGTATAAACACAATCTTTTTTTTTTTTTTTTGAGACGGAGTCTCACTCTGCCACCCAGGCTGGAGTGCAGTGGTGCAATCTTGGCTCACTGCAACCTCTGCCTCCCAGATTCTCTCCCACCTTAGCCTCCCAAGTAGCTGGGACTTCAGGCGCGTGCCACCATGCCCAGCTAACTTTTGTATTTTTAGTAAAGGTGGAGTTTCGCCACGTTGGCCAGGCTGGTCTCAAACTCCTGGCTTCAAGTGATCTGCCCTTCTCGGCCTCCCAAAGTACTGGGGTTACAGGCATGAGCCACTGCGCCTAGCCTATAGATTTCTTTTTTGAAGAATCAGTGTTATTTGCATGCTTTGAAACAAAGTGCTTCATCTTGCCAACCTTGTACCATACCGTTTCTGTCAGAAAAGCAACCATTGGGATAGATTGTAATTAGCCTTCATTTCCATCACTGGCTATCTCAAATGCAAATCATGTATCTATGTGAATCAAAAGAAAAACTGGATTTAGGCCTGGTGCAGTGGCTCATGCCTGTAAATCTCAGCACTTTGGGAGGCTGAGGCAGGTGGATCACGAGGTCAGGAGGTCGAGACCAGCCTGGCTAACAAGGTGAAACCCCGTCTCTACTAAAAATATAAAAAAATTAGCCAAGCGTAGTGGCTCGCGCCTGTAATCCCAGCTACTAGGGACGCGGAGGCAGGAGAATCGCTTGAACCTGGGAGGCGGAGGTTGCAGTGAGCCAAGATCACGCCACTACACTCCAGCCAAGGTGACAGAGTCTCAACAACAACAAAAAACTGGGTTTAACTTTCAGAATGTTCAATTTTATAGGGGATATTTAAAGGTGGTGTAATTAGTATAATCATGGATTGTAATCATTCCACAAATTTTAAAATAACTTTGTGAATTACATTAATACATAAAAATATAAGATAAAGCATTTACCATAATTTTATTAATATTTCCTTTAGAATACCTGGTAAAATGAATGAGTACTGACCTAACTTAAAGATAAAACAATTGAGACCTAGCTTTAGAAGTTAGTTTTATTACAAAACATGTTAAGGATAGACCTGATCAGACAATGAATCATGCTGACTTTTTGTTAAGCATACTTCTGGGTTCATAACATCCCACTTACATATAACAACTTGATTTCCATTAACGATGGTGTGGTTTCCTATTTAAAGTTCGAATGCACATCTGTTTGAATCATTTCTAGTGTACTTAATAGAGTAACATACATATTGGGTTCTAGTTAAGATGCTTTATAAAATGCCAAATAACATTTTATATCTGGAGAGATTATAAAAACTTGTATTTTGTAGCTTTGCTCTTGAACACTTGCTAGCTGCAAGGAATAACTTGGCTTTTTCTTGATGATCTTCATAGCCAGATTTTCGTGCTTTTTTTGGTAGAGAGAAGTCTCTACAAGTATTTGACGCTAAGGAATAATGAATAAATACCTACTGATTTTATCTGCTAAGGTCCACAAAACATTCCAGTATTTTGATATCACTATTAAAGAAGACGACGGTGTTCCAGTGATACATATGATTCCTTACAATGACATCACCAGAGATAGAAATATGAGGCATGGGAAGTAACACGTAGGCCTTCATTTATTTTCTGATATGGACATCCCTGGCATTGATCTCCTTGGCTCAAAGGAAATTTGCTTCCATGTCTAGGGTGGTGAATGTCTTTGGCTTATTTCTTTGGCCCTACTCTCCACTTTTGTCTTCCTTGGGAGGCTGATGTCTGTGGACTACATCAACAGGCTCCTTTGCCCTCTGGCTACTAGTTGGATTTGGCCAATGAGAGCCTTGGTAAGAGAGGGAGAGAGGAAAGAAATTCCATCACCCAATATCAAAGCTCCTGTCAGATAATCTTCTCTTCTCAGTTCTCTCTCTATGTAGTAACTAGAAACCACTCTCCTTCTTTTCATTCTTAGGAGTCTAAGAGTAGTAGTGACACTTCTCTATTACTAGTTCCAGTGGTTTCATTATACCTTCCCTCATTTTTATAAACAGTCCCTTATTAAACTCTTCTCAGATTACCAAAGTCCTGCTATGGCCATATAAATTTCAAAGGAGAGTGTCATTCTCCACCTCCAGGTGATAACATTTAACAGGAGGGAATGTAATTTATTTAATGTTTTTATTGAGCATTTTCTATGCTAGGTACCATACCAGACATCTTACATTTATTAACCCTTTTAATTCTCATATTTTGAAGTTGGTCCCTTCTGTTACTTTGAGGCCAACATTACAAGGAAAGTTATAGACGATATGGATTATTTGGCTTAGAAAGTTTGGAATAAACGTGTGATAGCTAACACTTACAGAATATATCTTACAAAGTGCCATACTAAGTTCACTTAAATCTTTGCAATATCACCACAACATAGGTAATGATACATGCTCTTTCTATAGATGAAAAGAGTAAGGCACGGAGAAGTTACTTGCCCAAGATCACACTGCAGAGCTGGGAGTTGAACCCAAGGCATTCTGGGTGTACAGTCAACATTCTTATTCATGGCATCATACCATTCCCCCGTGTTTTCCAAAGCATATTTTATCAGTGTGACTTTTTTCTAAATTCCCTCTGCATAAATCTAATGTATTTCAGTCACTAGTATTCTAACTCAAAATACAAAACCAGCATTTTTCTATCTTTAGGTGACTCCTTTCAAGAGAAAACTAACCTATGATGCCACAAGTCGTCATAGTGGCCATTCTTGAGGGGAGCTTCCACATAGGGGGTGTGAGGAAGCTGCTAGGGTGTTGATCATATTCTGTTTCTTAAATCTCGATGCTGGTAATATAAATATGTTCGGTTTGTGACAATTCATTGAGCTGTACACTTAAGACGTGTACTTTCCTCTATGTATATTATTCCGCAACAGAATACTGCTTTATTATACAATACCTTTTCCAACTCATATTTAAGAAAACAAAAAAAAAATCAACTCGGAAAGCTTCCTATTTACATGAAAATGGGTTGCCTTATTTTTCTGGGAGCTGGTCAGCAGCGTTCTTCAGTAAGTTTTGAATCCCCAGTTTTGCAATTCTTTGTGGTATTTGCGATATTTTTGGTGTTTCCAATGTCTAGGGATTTGTAATTGCAGAAGTATCTTGACTTTCTTAGCGACAGTTATGTCCATGGCTTGTCCTTTTTGTAATCAGAAGGTCATGCTAAATTATCCCTGTGTTCTTTACTTTCTACTGAAACGTATTGATCCCTTTGGATTTTCAGGTTAAAAGACCAATACAACTCTGAAGAATCAGAAACCACTTAAACACCTTCACAAATGCATTTCCTTTCTCAAATTTTTTTACTTTGATTTGTTCCACTTTGATTTGGTTCACTTTATTTATGCCACTTGTCAACCTACCTATCTGTGTTTCTTTTTGAACACTGTTTGTGCTTCCGTATTTCTTTATTTCATACTAAAAAGGATTTGGAAGGAATACTGTCTCGTTTTTAGGTCCTTTCGTGTTGTGGTTTGGGTTAACAAAGACAATATATATGCAGATACATTAAACTGAGTAATATCAGATATCCACTCAGTTCACTTGATAAGGGAAATCTTAGTCATAAAATGAACTGAAGACAGAGAGCTACAGGGTCGCCTGGCCCAAGGAGGAATTCATGTTTTGTGTGCTTCACAAAATAGTTCTCATACACTTGAAAAGGAAGCCATTAAAGGTTGAATTTTAAAGAAAAAATATTGTTCTTAGGATATAAAATGCCACCTGCAACAAAGACATGGTGTATGTTGAAGATGAAAGGGGAGAACAACAAAAGAATACTTAAAAATAGTCAAAAGAACAAGAAAAGGGAGGAAAAAGCAAGTTTCTAAGTGCATCCTCTGTACCATCTGCATTCACCAGTTTTAGTAATTGTATAGGGAATAATGCCTTCCCCTATTGACTTGCACTCCCACAGGGATGCCAAACTAATAGAAAACATTTTACATGTATTCTGCACTTTCTAATATAATATTTTTATATTATCGAAAAGACTTTAACTTGTGTGTGTGTGTGTGTGTGTGTGTGTGTGTGTGTGTGTGTGTGTGTGTGAGATCTTGCTTCGTCACAAAGGCCGGAGTGCAGTGGCACGATCTCGGCTCACTGCAACCTCCACCTTCCTAGTTCTAGCGATTCTCCTGCCTCAGCCTCTCGAGTAGTTGGGATCACAGGTGTGTGCCACCACGCCCAGCTAATTCTTGTATTTTTAGTAGAGACATGGTTTGACCATGTTGGCCAGGCTGGTCTCGAACTCCTGACCTTAAGTGAGCCACCTGCCTCAGCGTCCCAAAGTGCTAGGATTACAGGTGTGAGCCACTGCACCTGGCCGAGTTAAACGTTTTTACACCTAGAATTTGGTCAAAGAAAGAGATGCAGACAAATAGTGTTAAAATGAAACATAAAAATCAATCTATATTTATTGAGTGCATACGATTTGCCAAATCTGTATAACGTTCCTATGTGTTGCAGTTGAACCTCACGGGAGTGCTCTGGAGTAATAATTTGAGCCCCATTCTAATAGTGAATAAATTGTGCCTCAGAAAGGCTGTCACTTGCCCAAGATAACACAGCTAGTGAGTGAGTGAGAGACCTGAGTTCAGAAGTTAGCTATTTCTGCTTCTGAAACTTGGGTTACTTTTGCTATAGTATCTATAATTCTATAGAGTAAGTTGCAGGCAGGAAAATTAGAACCATCCAAGAGAAATAGTATGTTAGATTTTACCTGGGGTATTCATACTACAGGGAGAATAAAACTGAGCACCGAAAGGTCTATAAAGTTACAGGCTAAATGTAGCACATTTCACTAAAAAAAAAACCACATCAGACCGTGGGAACGGGGGTGGGGGAGATTTTTACTCAAAAGTACTTAAAATTACTTTTACATAAGTCCAGGTGTGATGGCTCATGCCTGTAATCCCAGTACTTTGGGAAGCTGAGGGAGGCGGATCACAAGGTCAAGAGATGGAGACAAGCCTGACCAACATAGTGAAACCCCGTCTCTACTAAAAATACAAAACTGAGCTGGACGTGATGACACATGCCTGTAGTCCCAGCTACTTGGGAGGCTGAGGCAGGAGAATCACTTGAACCTGGGAGGCGGAGGTTGCAGTGAGCCAAGATTGCGCCACTGCACTCCAGCCTGGCAACAGAGCGAGACTCTGTCTCAAAAAATAAATGATAAATAAATAGTTTTACGTTGAAACAAGCATATATTAAAAGAAGAAGGCAAAATCTCTAGGAATTTTTAGCATAAAGTATATGCTTTCAAAGAAATTTAAAACCTGCAGGCACTGTGTAATTTATACTGCCAGACTCCAGGGTAAATTCCTTCAATTTCATTTCCTGGAAGGATGCTCTGGTAGAATATTCTGAGAAGCACTCTATTAGAGAATATGGTGAATATGACTAATAGAAATTGGATTTCAATTGTGATACTTTAATATATCATTGACTCTGTGAGTTTCGAAAATAATACGATAGCAGGAACTGTTTCTCTATCACCTCACTGCTTTCTCTCTCTCGGTGCCCCAGCTAGGTGTACATGGAATCCCCTACCTGACCTATAATCCTTTACTCCCTCTCCATTTTGGTTACCTCCAGTTTTAAAAGAAGACTTATAAAAGACCTTGGTCTATGTATTTAAGTTTGGCCCACAAAGCAAGATTCTGTCTGCGTTTTTGACCTTTGCCTAGACTTTGTCTCCAAACCCAAACGTAGTCCTTGTGTCTTGGATGCTATATGATCCTGATGGCTTTGGGATTCATGTTTTATTCTGTACTCCAAGACTTCTCTCACCTTTCCCAGTCTCTGCTCCTCTTTTTGAATAAACAGCAGTTTATCACGCACATACTTCTTGGTCTGACAGACTTCAACTTTCTACCCTGGATTTTTTCTTTTCATAAAAACAAGTATCTCTGTCAGTTAACAGTTAACTATATTTTCTTCAACAATGGACACATTGCAGTGCATAAGATTATTTTTTGATGAGTTTAAAAGTCATGCTTTGCTCAGATAAGTGTGAAATTTTGCTCCTGGCCAAAGGAGGGAAAAAAACACATCATTTTAATGGCATTGTATACCTTCATTCAATTTGAAAAACAAATTATTACACTCAAAATACCAAATTATTCCAGGTTAGATATGAAGTTCTTGGCAGCACTATTAGAAAGTGTAAATTTATTTTCTTATTACTAGAGAGCTTTCCTTAAAGTTTCATTAAAATGGCACTGTTTTAAGATTTATGTGTATATTATGTATAGTAAAGTTGCTTTGTTTTAGATTAAATTTATGGATACATAGTATATTTAGGGGGTAAATAGATATATTGATACAGGCATGCGAAGCATAATCATATCAGGGTAAGTGAAGTATCTGTCACCTCAAGAATGTATCCTTTCTTTGTGCCACAAACATTCCACTTCAAATTTTTTTTTTTTTTTGAGACGCAGTCTTGCTCTGTCACCCAGGGTGGAGTGCAGTGATGCTATCTGGGCTCATTGCAAGCTCCGCCTCCCGGGTTCACGCCGTTCTCCTGCCTCAGCCTCCCAAGTAGCTGGGACTGCAGGTGCCCGCCACCAAGCCCACCTAATTTTTTGTATTTTTAGTAGAGACGGGGTTTCACTGTGTTAGCCAGGATGGTCTCGATCTCCTGACCTCATGATCCGCCTGCCTCGGCCTCCCAAAGTGTTGGGATTACAGGCGTGAGCCACCGTGCCTGGCCCAAATTCTTAAATGTACAGTAAATTGTTGACTGTAATCACCCTCTTGTGTTGCCAAATAGATCTTACTCATTCTAACTAGATTTTTGTACCCACTAAACATTCCCACTCCTCCTGTCCCCAACTACCCATACTACACTCTGGTAAACATCATTCTACTCTCTGTCTCCATGAGTTCAATTGCTTTAATTTTTAGTTACTGCATATGAGTGAGCCCATGCAAAGTTTGTTTTTGTGCCTGGCTTATTTCACTTAATACAATGTATTCCAGTTCCATCCACGTTGTTGCAAATGACAGCGTCTCATTTTTTTTTATGACTGAGTAGTACTCCACTACGTATATATGTACCACATTTTCTTTATCCATTCATTTGTTAATGGATACTTGGATTGCTTCCAAATCTTGGCTATTGTGAATAGGGTTGCAATAAACATGAGGGTGCAGATATTTCTTTGACAAACTGATTTCCTTTCTTTTGGGTATATACCCGGCAGTAGGATTGCTGGATTATATGGTAGTTCTGTTTTCAGTTTTTTTGAAGAACCTCAAACAGTTCTTCACAGTGGTTCTACTACTTTACATCCCCAACAACGATGTACCAAGGTTCCCTTTTCCACACAGCCGCATCAGCATTGATGTTGCCTGTCTGTTGGATATAAGCCATTTTAACTGGGGTGAGATGATACCTCATTGTAGTTTTGATTTACATTTCTCTGATCAATGATAGTGACAACCTTTTCATATTCCTCTTTGACATTTGTGTCATCTCTTGAGAAATCTCTATTCAAATTTTTGCCCTTCTTTCAATCAGATGATTATATATATTTTTTTCTATGGAGTTGTTTGAGCCCCTTATAGATTTTGGTTATTCCTTGTCAGGTGGGTAGTTGGCCAGTATTCTCTCCTACTCTGTGTGTTGTGTCTTCACTTTGTTGATTGTATTCCTTGCTGTGTAGAAGCTTTTTAACTTGATGTCTCATTTGTGCATGTTTGCTTTGATTGCTTGTGCTTGGTAGGGTATTGCTCAAGAAATATTTGCCTAGACCAGTGTCTTGGAGATTTTATCCCAATGATTTCTTGTAGTAGTTTCATAGTTTGAGGCCTTAGATTTAAGTCTTTGTTCCACTTAGATTGATACTTTTGTATATGGCGAGAGATAAGGGTCTAATTTCATTCTTTTGCATATCCATATCCAGTTTTCTCAGCACCATTTATTGAAAAGATGGTCTTTTCTTCAGTGTATGTTCTTGGCACCTTTGTTAAAAATGAGTTTACTTTAGGTCTGTGGAGTTGTGTCTGGGCTCTATTCTGTTCCATTGGTCTATGTGTCTGTTTTTATGCCATTAGCATGCATTTTTGGTTAGTATAGCTCTGTAGTATAATTTGAAGTCAGGTAATGGGATTCCTAGTTTTGTAAACAAGGATCATTTGATTCTTCCTTTTCAATCTGGATGCCCTTTGTTTCTTTCTTTGATCTAGCTAGGACTTGTAGTAATATGTTAAACAACAGTAGTGAAAGTGGGCATCCTTGTTACAGATCTTAGAGAAAAGTCTTGTAGTTTTTCCCCATTCAGTATGAAATTAGCTGTGGGTTTCTCATATGTGGCTTTTACTGTGTTAAGGTATGCTGCTTCTATACCCAGTTTTGAGAGTTTTTATCATGAAGGCATGTTGAATTTTTATCAAATGCTTTTTCAGCATCTATTGAAATGATATGGTTTTTGTCCTTCATTCTGTTCATACGATCTATCACATTGATTTTTTGCATATGGTGACCCATCTTGGCATCCCTAGGACAAATACCACTTGGTTATAACGAATGACCTTTTTAATGTTGTGTTGAATTTGGTTTGCTAGTATTTTGTTGAGGATTTTTGTATCAGTATTTGTCAGAGATAATAGCCTGCAGTTTTGTTTTCTGGATATCTGTCTGGTTTTCGTGTCAGGCTAATATTGGCCTCACAGAATGAGTTCAGAAGTACTTCCTCCTCCTCTTTTTCACAATAGTTTGAGTATTAGGTGTTTCAATGTTTGGTAACATTCAGCAGTGAAGCCATCAGGTCTCGGGCTTTTCTTCACTGGGAGACTTTTTACATCTTTGATCTCATTACTTGTTGTTGGTCTGTTCGGGTTTTGCATGTCTTCATGACACAATCTAATTTTGAGTTTGGTTTGCTATTCTAGTTCTTTAAGATGTATTGTTTCTCTTTTTTTTTTTTTTTTGATACAAGTGCTTATTGCTGTAAACTTTGCTAGTACTGATTTATCTGTAGCCCACAAGTTTTAGTATGCTGTGTTTACAGTTTTGTTTCAAGAAATTTTATAACTTCCTTATGAATTTCTTCATTGACCCACTGATCATTCAAGAGAATATAGATTAATTCCCTTGTGTTTTGTATAATTTTCAAAATTCCTCATTACTGATTTCTCAGTTCATTCAACTGTGGTCAGATAAGATACTTTATATTTCAATTTTTTGAATTTAAGGCTTGTTTTGTGGCCTAACATATGGCCCATCCTTGAGAATCCTCCATGTGGTGATGAGAGGAATGTACACTCTGCAGCTGTTGGTTGAAATGTTCTGTAAATATTTATTAGGTACATTTAGTCTGTAGTACAGATTAAGTTCAATGTTTCCTAGTTGACTTTTTGCCTGATGACGTCCAAGGCTGAAAGTGGGGTATTGAGGTTTCCAGCTCTCTTTAGGTCTAATAATGTTGCTTTATATATCTGGGTGCTCCAGTGTTCGGTACGTATATATTTACAATTGGTATATCTTATTGCTGAAATGATTCCTTTATTATATGTTGATCTTTGTCTCTTCTTACAGTTTGTCTTGAAATATATTTTGTTTGATGTAAGAATAGCTACTCCTGTTCTTTTTTGGTTGCTATCGACATGGAATATCTTTTTACATCCCTTAATTTTAAGTCTGGCTTTGTAGGTGAAGCGTGTTTCTTGTAGGCAACAGATTGAGTCTTGGTGTTTGTTGTTGTTGTTGTTGTTTGTTTTTTTTTTTTTTTTTCTGTCACTGTGTTTTGATTGGAGAGTTTATTTCATTTATGTTCAGTTTTATTATTAAGAACTTATTCCTACCATTTTGTTTTCTGGTTGTTTTGTGGCTTTCTCTTCCATCCTGTCTTCCTTTTTAGTGAAGGCGATTTTTCTCTAGTGGCATGCTTTTATTTCTTGCTTTTTAAATTTTGTGAATCTTAGTATATCTTCTTATTTGAGGCTACCATGAGGTTTACAAACACTATAACCCATTATTTCAAACAGACAACACTGGTTGCATAAACAAGAAAGCAAAGAGAAAACTAATTAAAAACTCAAACTTCGTCTCTTTTAATCTTTTTGTTGTTTGTTTATATCTCATTATACTGTCTATGTCTTAAAGTTATTAGAGTTATTTGTTAACTGAAAGCTTCCTTTTTTTACTCTTCTTATTCAAGATATGAGTAGTTCATACATCACAATTACAGTATTACAATAGTTTGTGTTTGTCTGTACTTACTGAGTTTTGTGCCTTCAGATGGTTTTTCTGGCTAGTTAAGGTCCTCTTCTTTCCAGTTGATAAATTCTCTTTAGCATTTCTTGTAGAACAGGTCTGGTGTTGATGAAATCCCACAGCTTCTGTCTTGGAAGGTCTTTATCTTTCTTGTTGGAAGGAGATTTTCACTGGATGCACTATCCTAGCATAAAGGGTCTTTTCCTTCAGCACTTTAAATATGGCATGACATGTCTTAGCCTGTAAGTTTTCTGCTGAGAAGCCTGTTACTAGTTGTTGTTAAGCTTTTTGGAATGTATCTTTTCTCTTGCTGCTTTTAGGATCCTGTCTTTATCCTTGACTTTTGATGCTTGCCATCTAGGAGCCAAGGCCTGAAGTTGCATCTTTATGAATCTATCTGGTGCTCTCTTCTATTGTGGCAGAGCTGGCACCCAAGCCACAATACAAAGTTTGTCCCATTCTTCCTTTCCCATTTCATAAGCAGAGGAATTTTTCCCCATGGCTACCACTGCCTCAGGCTCATGGTGAGTACTGCCTGGCTACCACTGATGTTCACTCAAGGCCCAAGAGCTTTTTAGTTAACTAGGAGTAAACGCTGCGAGGCCTGGGTCTCTCCGTTCTGTGCAGTGGGTTCTCCTCAGGCCCCAGGTGAGTCCAGAAATGCCATCCAGGAGCCAAGGCCTGCAATCAGAGAACCCAGGAGCTTGCTTGATGGTCTACCTGACTGTGGTTGAGCTAGTACCCAAGCTGCAAGACAAAGTCCACTCTATTGCCTCTCCTTTCCAAAAGCACAAGGAGTATATCCCCATGGCCACCACACTTGGGAATGCATTGGGCCACACCCAAAGACAGCATGGCTCTGAGTCTTACCCAAGACTTGGTGAATACTGCCTGGCTACTACTGCTGCTTATTCAGGACCCAGGGACTCTTTAGTCAGCAGGTGACGAATTCTACCAGGACTGGATTCTTCTCTTCAAGGTAGCAAGTTCCCTTCTGGCCCTGGGTGTATTTAAGAATGTCACTCAGGAGCCAGGGCCTGGAATGGGGGGTCTCAGGACTCTGCCTGATGCCTTATCCTACTGTGGTTGAGCTTGTGTCCAAGTTGCAAGACAATGTCATCTTTACTGTCCCTATCCTCTCCTCAAGTGGAAGAAGCAGTCTCTCTCAAAGCTGTCAGCTGCACTGTTAGGGGTTAGAGGATGGGGTGGTACAAGCACTGGTGTCTTACTGGGTTGTGTGCCCACCAAGTCCCCTGACTTCGAGTCCAGCACGACACCAAGACTTGCCCAGGAATTGCAGTTTTTGTAGCCTAGACTCCCTTTGAAGTTTATTTAGGACCCCAAAGTGCTTGAGCTCACACTGGTGAGACTAGCTGGAACTCAGCTTCTAACTGCTGAGATGGGTGATACCTCCCTGGATAGGGCTGGTCTAAATGTGCCCTCTATGTGCGCTTGATGAATTCTGCCCTGTGTTGCTTCCCACTGTGACAGGGCAGCACTGGGTTCCAATGCAACGTTTCACAATCCTGCGCCCTCCCTCCTGCAAGCACACAGATCGTCTACATGAGACATGGCCTCTGCCAGGGGATGGGGGAGGGGTGGTGTTGGCAATTCGTAACTGTCTTTCCTACCATCTTCAGTGCCTCTTTCCTTGATATGATATTAAAATCAAGTACTGTGATTGCTCACTTGATTTTTGGTTTTTATGTAGGTGCTTGCTTGTGTGGCTATCTGTTCAGTTTGGTGTTTCTATAGCAGCGGTAGCGGGAAAGATGATTGCTGGAAGGTTCCATGTATTTGACCGTCTTGTTCTGCCTCCCTCCTAGTAAAGCTATTCTTTAAAAATTCTAGCATGTTAGGGTTTTGTGTTATGTTCTTTTTCCCATGGAATTTGAAAATGGATCTATTTGAGTAGAATTTCAAAAGAATAACTCATAATTTTTGTCTAAGTATATATGTGGCTGGATTCACAAAGCTGGGCACACAGGGACTGGTTGGTTGCCGCAGGTATCATTGTTCCCTGCTTGAAGTACCCGGGCATTTACAGGTCTTGTCATTGACATGGCTACCTGGTTGTAGGAATAGTCTAAATCCTATGTTTTTAATCGTGGAAGTTTAAGGGATGTCTTTTGCCTGGAAACCAGGGATTTTCTTGACTTGTGTGAAATTCAAAGTTTATATGTGATCCAAGGAGTGTATGTAAAGAGCACAGTCACCCAAAGGCTAATGTTAGACCCATCACCTGACGTTTTTTGGAAAGTATTTGTTGATCCCAAGGCTTGTGAGAGCTCCCACTGTTACATGTTCTTTAGTCCTTTCTAATGCTTCTATGTAATAGTACCTTTTAGGAATATTTTCTTTGCTGGACTCTAAGTTCTATAGGGTCTGGGCCTATGTCTGATGTACTAGCATATGATTCAGTACCTAGCTCAGGTTTATTCATGCTCAATATGTCTTTGACTGATTAAATTAGGGATTTCCAGATAGGTGATGAAAAAGCTGGGAATTACCTCATGAGGGGATTGTAGGGTTTTAAGCAGAAAACGATTTGGTGAAGTATGACAAAAGAAAGACAAATGTTAGAAAGATAATCAAATAGTAGGTTATAAAAGGACAAGGAAGCAACATAAGATTGAAAGAACAAGAACCCAGAATTAGACAGATCTGAGCCATAATTTTGGCTTTACCCCATTCTAGTTTCATGACAAAGAGCCACATACTCATCTTACATGAGATACTTAGAGGTTAAGTATGTTACTGCTAATCTCAGAAATGCCACAACGGTTATGAAATCCACTCATTTAATAGTGTGTCTCATGAGTATTTACGTTAAAAATGTTAAATATTATTTATTGACTATTATTTTTCCTTAGTATAATTCCTGAGCAAAGAACTGAGTAAAATAGATGAAAAGCTCTCACAGGGTTGTTTCAAACCTAATTAAACCCGATATTCCTAAAATTTGAGTTATCCAGTATGAGAATAGGTCATAGCATGCAAAATGTGTATGCACAGCAAGCATGTTTTGAGTGATAAGGATGTCGAACCACTCTGACTGGTATATTCCAAGAATGGTTAAACTTTATGTACCCACCCAGGTAGATTGTGGTCTTTTGCTTCTTTGTGTATTTACTTTTCCCTTTACCCGTAACTGCCTTGATCATGCCTGTATTTTTTCTCTCCTTCATAGAATCTATATTCATTTCAGTGAATTAATTAGATCATTTAGGGTATAAATCTCTTACTCTTGCTATTCAAACTAATTCAAATAGACTTGACCTATGATAAAATTTTTAAATTTTTTTTGTCATTTGAACTTTCCTTTTTTCATCCGTCATCTTCGGCAGATTAATTATGCACACTAATTATCCTTAAATATAGCTTTAGTTTTCAAAAGGGGATAATCGTGAAAATGTATCATTGGAAGTGTGCTTTGTTAAATTGAGTGTATTTTTTTTAATTTCAGTTTGGGAAGCAGCATATTGAGAACCTCTTCAGTGACCTACAGGATGGGAGGCGCCTCCTAGACCTCCTCGAAGGCCTGACAGGGCAAAAACTGGTATGTGACTTATTTTTAAGAAAGTTAACTTTAAACTTAGTAGAATTTCAGACCAGAAACTGACAACATAGTTTTATGACATCTAGTAGAATGACTAGGTACTGATTGAAACAGCAATACCTATTCCTTAGTAAAGCAACCTCGTATGATTTTCATTTGGCATACTCTACCGCCTGCAGAAAAAGTAAAAATTTCAGTAATACAATTTATATTAATAGATATTATTCAGTTTTACTACTTGGTATCTATCTTATCAAATATCTTAATGAAGGCTTTTATACATAATGACTTGAGAAATTATCTTTGTACTTTTGTGTATTTTTGAAGTTATTTTACAAGGAACCTGTATGAGTTTATACATGTGGGATAGCAAAATAAGGTACAGGCATTATAGTGTAATACGTGATAGCATATGTGATGAAAATATCACTTCCTCTTGAACTATTATCTTGTCTAACTTCAGAGCATTCCTGTGAAGATACATGATTGATATACATGATTACAGATCAGTGAAGTCATGTTGATCAAGGTCTTACACTGGGGGGGGAAAGAACTCAAATTGAAATCCCCTGACTGAAATAATCGTCTTAGATTGCTATTCTAAAAAGTAGAGTTTAAGCCCCCAGTCTATAGTCATAAATAACTGTTCTACCTATCAAATTCTGCTAAATCATAGCCTTCGTCTCTTATCTTTGCCCTTCATTACAACTCCCCAGCACATGCACATACACACACAGACACACACAGATTTTGTCATATTATACAAACTGAAGCTGTCGTTCAAAGTCAGTTAGCAAAAATCCTATCTACCCCAGCCTGCCTCCTGTAACACTTAACGCTAAGCCACTCTTTTCTCGGTATATATTGTCAGATATCTCTGGGTTTTTGCCTGTATTATTTTACTTGCCTGTATTTCTTTTTGTACTTCTGTCTACCCCAACTGTCTGCCAGAAACCTTGATTTCACCTCAGTAAAGCTTTTCCCAAATTACCTTTGCTAATTTTTCCCTCCCAAATTCCACAGAAGGCCCATTTTTGTCTTGTTTTTAGTGTATGTATGACTGACATCCCTCCTCAATTAAATTCTGAAGTCCTATACAGAAGAGACATACCTATGCTTTCATTTTTTATCTTCAGCTATGTGAGATTAATACTAAAACGGATCCATTTTTTTCAAGAAGTCTGAACTTGTACTAATAGAAGAACAACTTGATGACATATTGAAATAATAACTTTAGTCAAGGGGGAAAATCAGATTTAATACCTTATAGCTGAACTGTTTGCTGGGCGCCAATTTGAGGTCATCATGTAAACTTGGTCTTAATTTCACTAGTTAGAGATAGATTTGTGTGTAATTCATCTCCTATGACTGTGAACAATTTACATATATATGGATACGTAGCATATGTACAGAAATCAGTGTGTCTGTGTATCTCGTTTCTCCTGTATTCTGAAGTCAGTCCTACTTTGTTACCGAATACAGAAGTCCCAGTGTCTTCCAAATGTTCGTGAAAAATCTTTCAAAGATTATGGCTTACTCATCTTGTCCTGGCCCTCTGTTAGGAGGCTGTTGTCTCTTCACTTCCAGGTATCTGCGTGATCACTTCTCCTGTGTTGCAATCCTCTGGTCATTTCCCTGACTGAGTCAATCCATCTATCACCCAAAGCAATTTAGTCAGGGTTAACAAATTTCATACATAATGTTTAAGATAATGAATTTCAGATCCTTTCGTAATTCATAAGCATGATTTGGGTGTTTATACTCAGATATGAGATAAGCCTTTCTCTAAACTTATGATGTTGGCACACTACCCATTTGATATAAAGAAAAAACCACTAATTTCGGCAAAATTAAAAAATCCACATGATTTGCATTTATGCATATACATACATAGACGCTAAGACAAAATGAACCTAATTAGTAATAGCATTAAAGAAAAAAATATCAAACAAAATATCCATGAGATTGGCCAGTATAAGGTAAGCTAGTGGTAGGGAAAAATCACCAAACATTTACACATGGCAGTGTAGATTACATAATTTCAGATACTGCTACTAACAGAATCCATTCACCATTGTTTGTCCTAATCACAGATCTGTCAGCCCTGGTCTGAGGATTTTGCCTTTCTCATAAAGCAGAATCACCTCTAACAAATGCTCCCGATCCCAGAACTCCAATTCGCTATGCCTTGTCTTGAATTCTAATAGTTTCTGTAGAGATATATCTTCTACTCCTAATGGGAGGCATGTATACTATAGAACAGAAATTTTAGTATTCTACTCAGAAGCATCTGCATTTGGATTATTGGCTCAGGACATCCCCAGGGTTAAAAGGAAGGTACTTGCCTTACAATCATAAAATAAGAAATACTCCCCAAGGAGACTCTAATAGGGGCAGATTTTAAGTTCCCACTTCAGGATCAGAAACTGCAGCTTTTTAAAAGAGTAGACTATGTTTGGTTCTAATACATATGCACATGTGTACATTTAATGTTTGAATATGATACAAAGGAAAATTTTGCTAAATCTTGTGACTATATAATTACATAATTGAAAGGAAATATGTGGCTTTGGTCTAACTACTAGGCAGAGAACTGATTTGAGTAATTATTTTCAAAACTTTAAAGTCCTATAATTACCATTAAACTTGTATACTGTCAATCTATATATACACAAGAAGATTGGTTATTTGCTGTTTTTCTTTCATGTATTTTTTTTTTATTTTGATGGAATCTTACTCTGTCGCCCAGGCTGGAGTCAGCGACATGATCTTGGCTCACTGCAACCTCTGCCTCCTGGGTTCAAGCAATTTTCCTGCCTCGGCCTCCCAAGTAGCTGAGACTACAGGCATGTTCCATCATGCCTGGCTAAGTTTTGTATTTTTAGTAGACATGGGGTTTCACCATGTTGGCCAGGCTGGTCTTGAGCTCCTGATCTCAATGAGCCACCTGCCTCAGCCTCCCCAAATGTCTGGCTGTTGCTTTTTTTTTTTTTTTTTTTTTTTTAAATCTAAAGTCTTATTTTTTTCCTCTTTTTGGTGGAAAGTGGGAGAAATATCAGAATGTAAACCAACATCATTCTGACATTCTTGGAGGAAAATCTAAGAGGTAAAAATGGAGATTCTGGTTCATAAGGTTAGCCTTAATGTTTTGTGAAATCAAAGGAACAAGATGTCAATACTGTGTTATAAAGGATATCAGGCAAGTTACCTTGGAGAGTAAGATGGCTTTAGCTTAATTTGGGTTGTTCAGCAGGCAGTGCAAATGATAAGGAGTTCTAGGGTGAGGAACTACTTGAGAAAGACCAGGAGCTTTGCTGGAAAGTATAGGAGTTAAATGCAAGACACAGAAATATAGATATTTGTTTGGTGCATGCACAAGGTAGTTAGAGAAGAAGGAAATAAATTTGCAAGACTGGGGCTCTACAGACACAGACAAAAGTTTGGGTCCTGGCTCCACCAATTATTAGTTATATGGTAATCTATATATTAGATATTTTAACCTGAGGTTCACTTCTGTACAATAGGGATGAAACTAACTGCCTTGCAAGGCGGGGATTAAAGGTAGTGCATTCAAAGTACTTGGCACATACTACGAAGTCAATAATATTTATGTTGGACCAACTATGTGACAAGCACCAATCTTAGTGCTTTATGCATATCGACACACTGAATTCTGCCAGAAACCATATGTACAATGGTTTGAGCAATATGAACAATAAGTAGTGCCCTGGACAAGGTCTGGATCCTGTGAGACAGCATGCTTCATGTTTGAGTGAGGGCTTTGACCTCAAATGCAGAGAAGAAAGTATGTCGAATTCTCTTGTAAATCAGAGCAGTTGTTATTGAGAGCACATGTTGTAACTTGTGTATGCCTCTTGCTAATATTTTCATTAAGTCCATTTTTAACAGATGAGAAAACTGGTATACAGGGAGATTAAATTTTTTATGTAGGCCAGACAGCACAAAAACAGCAGAGCTGACAATTGAACCCAGGCAGTCAGCTTTGTAGCTCTTGCCCTTAACTGTTACCTATAATCACCCAAATGTTTAGGTGAGAACTTTGCAAGTGGTTTGCATTGGCAGTGGGCTTACTTCAGGAACGTCATTGTTGATGGTATGAAGGAAGGATGAAAAAAATGGTGAGTGAGTGGAGAAGGGAAAGAGGTTAGATTTCTCTGGGCAATAGCTAATAAGGGCTTGTAGTAAGGTAAAAGAAATGAAAATGAGAGTAAATAAAACAGGTTATCATAATGGTAGAATTTCTAAAACTCTACAACTTAATAAATGAGTTAATTTGTATATTACAATGAACTATGCAGATGTTGGTTTAAAAATTACAGGATAAGATACAACTTTTGGGATTGAGAATAAAATTAGGGAACCAAAGTGATTGAGGTTTAGAGCTTCAGTGACAAGGACAATTAAGGTAATCTTCACAGAAAAGGTTTCCTTTAACCCTATTTGGCATTATATAATTTTGCTAGAGTCAAATCTCCTTTAGATTTTTCTAAAAAGTTTGGGAATTGTTTTTCTATCTTACTAGAAAATGTTTTTATGCATGCTGATGTTTCTGTCATTGGTGGTCATGCAGTAATCCCCAACTGGGCTATAGAATGAAGAAACAATCATACCAAAATAGGCTTTGTAAAGAAAAAGTGTTGCCATTCTTAGAGTGGTTGGTTTATGCTAAAAACGTACCAGGCCAAGGACAATTAGCGCAAAGTATTTAGATTCATTATATTAATGCCTCACAGGCTCTGTTCGTTTACAATATTCAAGCTTAATAGTGAAATTATAAATGGTTTCATTTCTAGTAGATTGTCGGTCTCTCTGCTGGTCAGTGAACACTCTTTTGTTTTGTTCTCAGCCAAAAGAAAAAGGATCCACAAGAGTTCATGCCCTGAACAATGTCAACAAGGCACTGCGGGTTTTGCAGAACAATAATGTAAGTAGTACCCTGGACAAGGTCTGGATGCTGTGACACAGCATGCTTCATGTTTGAGTGAGGGCTTTGGCCCCAAATGCAGAGAAAGTATTTCAAATTCTCTTGTAAATCAGACCAGTTCTTACTGAGAGCACATGTTGTAATTCGTGTATGCCTGATTGTGGCTAATATAATTCAGGAAGCAAATGCATGCTGCCACAGAGGGAAGGGAAAAGACATAGACCTGACCTGATAGGCTGCTCCCTGTTTTCAGATTTTACTTCATGAAGCTGTGTTTGGTGGACAAAGTCCTGCAGTCAACTCGGTTTCTTTTCTTACTTTGCTTTTCTTTTTCTTTTTTCTTTTCTTTTCTTTTCTTTTCTTTTTTTTTTTTTTTGAGATGGAGTCTCGCTCTTCTGTCCCAGGCTGGAGTGCAGTGGCGTGATCTCGGCTCACTGCAAACTCTGCCTTCCAGGTTTAAGCTATTCTCCTGTCTCAGCCTCCCGAGTAGCTGGGATTACAGGCACATGCCACTATGGCCAGCTAATTTTTGTATTTTTAGTAGAGACAGGGTTTCACCATGTTGGCCAAGGCTAGTCTCGAACTCCTGACCTCAGGTGATCCACCTGCCTCAGCCTCCCGAAGTGCTGAGATTACAGGCGTGAGCCACCGTGCCCGGTGAACTCTGTTTCTTACGGCAGTGTTTTGTGCAACAAACGGATTTTTCTATACCAAATATTTATGTACTAAATGTGTTCAAACCTGATAATGATGTTTGTTTAAATCAAGCCAACACTTATTAAACGCTGTCTCCAAGCATATAAATTATACAGAAACATCACTATTTTTACTTGGGGTATGAATGGCAGATTTGTTTTTTTGGTTTAGATTTAACTGGATTAAAATACGTGTGTTGCATTAGAAGAAGTAAACAGTCACAGCTAAACCAAGTAGGCAGGTCAGAGGAATTCTAATCTCCTCTGAACCACTTGGTGACTCTTCCCCTGTGTCATGGCATTGGAGGCAGCCTTCCTTTCTTATTAACATCCTAAAATCTGTCTAATCGACCAATACATTTCACCAGGCACTTAGTAGCTCCCTAATTACATTACCTCTCTCTTTCAAAGATAAACTCAAGTACATTGAGTACGTTGATCACTTACTCTTAAAATAACCATAAGCAGGGATAGATTAATAATAACATGTACTCCCCCAAATGTTGCTCAGCTTATCTGGCAGGGAGATGACATTACATAAGATATGGAAATGGAAACTGTGCAGCAATTAATTGGCTGATTTTATGAATTCAGGGTCATTGTCACCTTTAACCTATGAAAGTTATTTTACAGAGATGTTTGTCTTAGGAAGAAATTAACTAGATTTTTCACTCCGCAGCCAGAATAATCTATGAGCTGATTTTCTTGTTTATTAGTCCGATGGACTCTTTGGAAATATCAGTGTCATTGACATTATGAGAATTGTTAACAATATTAAAGTTACACAAAGAAAATGTCTTTGAAATATCAAAATATCATATTCTGTTTCAAAATGTAGCAGTGAAGAAAAGAGCGGAACACAGAATTATTAGATTTAATTTATTTGTAGCTTGACTGTCCCCAGCAAGAAAATGTCATTTAAAAAAACAAACTTTGGGATATCCTGTAAAACTCAATCCTGCATAAAGAAAATGCGGTACAGGTCGGGCGCGGTGCTCATGCCTGTAATCCCAGCACTGTGGGAGGCCGAGGCTGGCAGATCACCAGAGGTCAGGAGTTCGAGACCAGCCTGGCCACCATGGCGAAACCCCGTCTCTACTAAAAAATACAAAAATTAGCTGAGTATGCTGGTGCATGCCTGTAATCCCAGCTACTCGGGAGGCTGAGGTAGGAGAATTGCTTGAACCCAGAGGCTGAGGTTGCAGTGAGTGGAGATCGTGCCACTGCACTCCAGCCTGGGAGGCAGAGCGAGATTCCATATCAAAAAAAAAAATAATAATAATTTGGTACATATACAGCATGAAATACAATACTATGCAGCCACAGAAAAGAATTAGATCATGTCCTTTGCAGCAACATGGATGAGTCTGGAGGTCATTATCCTAAGTAAACTAACACAGAAACAGAAAACCGAATAACACATATTCTCAATAAGTACGAGCTAAACACTGAATGCACACGAACACAAGGGAACAAAGAGCCAGCAGCAGCTAGTGCTGGGGAACTTTGAGACTCCTACGTGATAAATCATGAAAGGGTGTATGGGGGGGGTCTTACTTGCAAGTATGTTTTGGGAGGTTTTTTGGGCACACATGCTCTGGTTGTACATGCTAGCACACATACCACATCTCATTGGCATCTAAAATCTCCACCCAGGGGTGTGTGGGTTTTTTTGTTTGTTTGTTTGTTTACACTATTACAATGAGCAAAAGAATAGGGCAAGTTTTTGGAGGAGTGTGTGCATGCTTGTCAGTGGGGAAAATCCCTAGCGTGGTTATCTCTGGCGAGGGCCTGAGAAGTCCCCTTTGGGGCTAGAGGAGCCCAACCACAAGGCTAGACATAATCAGTGTGGACAGTGTGTGTATTCATTGTCCGTTTCGCTGATTGTCAACAGGCAGCACTGACTCAGTGAAACAGCATCTTCAGGACTTCTTTTCTCAATGGGGCTCCCTTGCCTGCTCATTTCTGGCTATCTGCCTACTCCAAGGGAACCAGAAAAATCCTGGCAATAAAACATATAGAAGGAAATTTATATGACTTTGGGATAGGCAAGTATTTATGATACCTGAATCCAAAGCATGTTTCAAAAAGAGAAAAGTTAACTTGGACTTCATCAAAATTGAGTTATTGCTATATTCTGGATATGAGCCCTTTGTTTTGAGTTGCAAATGTATTTTCCTTTTCTGTGGATTACCTTTTTACTCACTTCAATGGTTAATATTAATAAAAACAAGTTCTCCACTTGGATATAGTTTATTCTTTAAAACTTTATATTTTTATGACCTGTTGAAGAAATACTGGCCTACCCAAAGCCATTATGATACTATATTAGGTTATTATCTATAGAACCATTATCGTTTTACCATTTTGTTTTTGGATCTGTTTTACCTGAAATTGATTATTGCATATGGTGTGAGGAATAGGTTAAGACTCAGTATTTATTTTATTTGAAGTCTAATTAACACACCATTTATTAAAAATAATGCTTCCTCATTGCTTCACAGTACTAAGTGTGTCATTAAAAATTTGTCCGTACATATGTGGGTCTGTTTTTGCACTTCAATTCTCTTGCATTGTTCTCTCTCTCTCTACACACACAAATATCATGTAATGTGGAGTAATGTAGTTTTATAATACAGCCTAGTATCTGGTGAACTAGGTTCTCCCACTTTGTTCGAGATTTTATTGGTTATTGGCCCTTTCTATTTTTGTATTTGTTTTGTAATCTTTTCCATTTACATGTACATTCATTTTAAGTATGATTAACATTGAGTTAAATCTATAGAGAATAACTGACACATTTACATATGGAGTATCCCAGTCTTCTGTTTTTCTTGATTTTTTTTTTAAATTTTAGGTTTTCTAGAATGAGAAACTGAAATTGAACAGGAACACAAAAGGTGTTCACAAATTCAAGAATCATATTTAAGAAATGTTTAACCTCAGCAGTAACTTGAGGAAATTTAAATTAGAGCTGTAATGAGATACCAGTACAAAATTACCAAAATGACTGAACTAGACTACTAATGCCAAATGTTGATGAGGACATGGATCAACTGGAAATCTCACAATTAACTTCTGGAAATATAATTCAGGCAACTAATTAAAGAGTTGGGCATGATCTACTAAATGTGAAAATGCACATTTCTTACCACCCAGCAATTCTATTGTAGACATACAAGTTACAGAAATACATTTCCCAGTTTGCCAAAAACACATATATATGTGAGAATGTTCATAGCAGTTTCATTTGTGATAGCCCAAACTGGAAGTGACTATGATACATTCTCATGATGGGATATTACAGAGCAATGAAAATGACCAAATGATAGCTACACACAATATACAAGATGAAGTCGTTAAAATGTATTTGAGTGAAATAAATCAGACAAATTATACCTACTATGATTTCTTTCAATTAAATTTCAAAAACGGGCAAAATGTTTCCATGGGTTTAAAATTGAAGAGAGTGGTTAACTTTTGGAAGGAGTAAGTCAGTAAAACGCATAAGAGAATCTTCTGCGGTGCTCACTGTTCCATGTTTTGACCTGATAGCTGTTACACATGTGTATTTACTGTAAGAAAACGCATCAAGTTGTACACTTATGTATATTTTTCTATATGCATATTCCACTTCAATTAAAAGAGGAACTTATGAAGGGAACTTAAAACCTCCGAAACTCCACGGGCCATATATAGAAATCTGATCATAGACCCCATGTTTTCTAATGAAATTATTAAATGAATATAAGTGAATATAAAATTAGAATATGATGTCATATGAATCTCTTCAGGGAAGGCCACATTTCTTACAGAAAATATAGAACCTCCTAATGTTTTAGTAGGGAAAAGGCCCCAAAATAATGGCTTAAATTTGAGAAGGAGTTGTTCAAAAGCAGATATTAACAATGCTTTCATCTGAGCTAGAGCTTTAATGGGGAGCTGCATAAGATGCTGGCCTATGCGTTAGAGGACAAAACCTCAAGACATTCTCATGCAGAAACCAAACTTGGAACAAAGGAACCTTTACCTTAGCCTGTGGCTGAACAATAACACATGGATTTTCAAAAGTAAATCTAGGCTGGGCGCGGTGGCTCATGCCTGTAATACCAGCACTTTGGGTGGTCCAGGCGGGTGGATCATGATGTCAAGAAATTGAGACCATCCTGGCCAACATGGTGAAACCCCATCTCTACTAAAAACACAAAAATTAGCTGAGCGTGGTGGTGTGCATCTGTAGTCCCAGCTACTCATGAGGCTGAGGCAGGAGAATCACGTGAACCTGGGAGCAGAGGTTGCAGTGAGTGGAGATCGTGCCACTGCACTCCAGCCTGGCCACAGAGTGAAAAAAAAAAAATGCATTATCTTATAATTCTCCATTTTGTCATAAGTATAAACAAAAATGGAAAACATCCATAAGTACAACTTTAGTTTGCTTATTAGGAAGAATAAATCAAAATGCTCAAGCAGGATTTTTTTTCTAAAGTTGAGCTTGGGTGTGTTCTATATCAATAAGCCTGTGCAGGATATAAATAATCACATTGAAGAAGTCCTATCCAAATTTCCTTTTAAAATTCACAGGTATATAAGTTGATTGATTGGTGTCAGAGCAAACACAACCCTTTGTGTGTCAGAGATTACAGCCACATGGTAGGCAATATGAAGCATATATACTTAGGAACAGTTAAGTGAATAAAAAAGAGATACATAGAATAAGAGGTCTGAGAAGACCTTTTGGTTCAGTTCCTATATGAGCAGAGACCTGGAGAAAGGGAGTGAGCCTTGGAATTGTCTATAGGAAGGTGGGTTAGGCACGGTAATAAAGACCTTAAGGTGAAAAAGCATTTGGAATGAGGCCTCAGCAAGTGGAGTAGAGTGAGTTTAGAGATAAAGGAAACATAGCAGAGATAGGGGAGCAGAGAGGTAGTAAGGTGGGGGTGAGAAGAAGAAAGCATGGTGAGCCATTGTTGGCATTTGGACTCAGGTCTAAATGAGATGACAATGACTAAAAAAACACTACTAGAAATTAAATGGGTCATAAGTCAGGTTATTTTAAAAATCAGTAATAGTTCCAAGTCTTTGCTATTGTGAATAGTGCCACAATGAACAGATGTGTGCATGTGTCTTCATAGTAGAATGATTTATAATCCTTTGGATATATACCCAGTAACAGGATTGCTGGGTCAAATGGTATTTCTAGTTCCAGATCCTTGAGGAATCACCACACTGTCTTCCACAATGGTTGAACTAATTTACATTCCCACCAACAGTGTAAAAGCATTCCTATTTCTCCATATTCTCTCCAGCATCTTTTGCTGACTTTTTAATGATTGCCATTCTAACTGTTGTTAAATGGTATCTCATTGTGGTTTTGATTTGCATTTTTCTAATGACAAGTGATAAGCATTTTTTCGTATGTATGTTGGCCAAATGTCCATCAGTGATAGACTGGATTAAGAAAATGTGGTACATATACACCATGGAATACTATGCAGCCATAAAAAAAGAATGAGTTCATGTCCTTTGCAGGGACATGGATGAAGCTGGAAACCATCATTCTCAGCAAACTAACACAAGAACAGAAAACCAAACACCGCATGTTCTGACTCATAAGTGGTAGCTGAACAATGAGAACATATGGACATTAGGAGGGGAACGTCACACACCATGGCCTGTCAGAGGGTGGGGGGCTAGGGGAGGGATAGAATTAGGAGAAATACCTAATGTAGGTGACGGGTCTATGGGTACAGCAAACCACTATCGCAGGTGTATAACTATGTAACAAACCTGCACATGTACCCCAGAACTTAAAGAATAATAAAAAATATAAAACAGGAAAAATCAGACAAAATGAAAAATCAGTGATAGAATACTAACAAACTTAGAGTGTCATTTTATTCAAGAAAGTTACAGTCAATAACGAAAACGTATCGCACAGTAGAAATGCTGCTAAATCCATGAAGAAAAATTGATGGAAATATATTTTTAGAGCCATTAATTCACCACTGTCAAGTTTATGACATATTTAACAGCAAAAGATTGAGAGTACAAATAACTGTAGGTTTAATAGTGATTTTCTGTATCTCAACACTAAAGCATAGTAGATACTTCTATAAAATATGAGCATTATCAATAAATCTCCCTATGAAGTTGGATGTGCAAGAAGAGCAATAGTTTAAAAATTTCAGTTACATTAACTAAATTCAAGTCTGAACTCTCAACAAGGCATTCAGAAAATCGTATGTCTGTCATTATTGGGAATGCTCTCCCCTGAGCCTATGGAATGGCCAGAGCTCAGTAGATCCACATGGTGTCTTTCATAGGGCAAAAGCATTTTCATTTTCAGTTCATTGAGGCAACCAAGTGATACATTCACTATACAATTTTAAGGTATCTTGTGAAGTCAAGTGTATTAACTGTCCTGATATTAAACACGTGGCATACAGAAAAAGTTGAAGAGAGTGTAATCAGGGGAATATTTATAGAAACGTGGGGAGGATTAAAGGAAGAAACTATGGTGAAGAATGCAGGGATTCACATGAGTTAATAACCTTTACTACATCTAAACCTAAGCAGTCAAGGGGAGAGGGCTATTAATTTGATAAAATCCCTCATGTTGGGAGAGCGCCACTGGACACAACTGTGAACTGAGCCCCTAGGTATCTAAAGAATGCTGTTAGTTTCAAATCATTGCCTGGTGAAGTTGAGAGAAGTGATACCTTAGTCTCTCCATAGAATCCTCCAGTGTTTTGCCAGTGCCGCTCCTTAGTTTAGTCTAACCAGAAGTCCAAGGTTAAGAGATTCCAGGTGATGTAGTCATCACATACAAAGAAGAGGTGAAGAAGTTTGGTGGGTTAGTGAAGTAGGAGTGGAAAACGGTATAATCGGCATTCCAGGTATCTAGTTCTGTTTTGTTTCTGTGCGAAATGAGGACTTGAGAATCTGCATGCCGAGAACTCTGATGTTGGCTAGGGCCCAGTCTTGTTGGATGCATCAGGAAGCCAGTCACCTTTGAGGCCATACCACTTCTATTTGATGACAGAGAGTAGACGTGGTTTCTGGCTAATTTGGGGACTAAGGACTCCTTCCTATTCTTCTGGAGACAACCAGAGCCAGAAAAGAAAGACACGCTGAGAGTCACTTCGGATATCTGCTCTTCGTCGTAAACTTGTTAAAGGCTTAGGAAAATAGTAAAAAAAATTTCCTGCCACATACACAAATTATAAACGGGCAATATATTTGAATGCAGTGAAAATGTCATTAAATACACACAAACTTTCAAAATTCATGTTATTTAATAACAGTAGAAACTAATAATATACTTATAAATTAAGTTTGATTAAGGTTTGTTAAACCAAGAGTATAAAACTACATTTGTGAAGGAAAAAGCATTCCATATGAAAACCCATGAGAAATGGCTCAGGCTGTACTGAGAGTTTGAATTTTTGTCTTTGATTTTGATCTTCATTAAAAAGATAAATTGAATCAAGCTTTCAAATAAAAATGTTACAAAAATGCTTTAAGGAAAGCAGGAACTAAAGATAAAGAAATAGAAGAAACACTAGATAAAATATACAGCTAGTTCCTTATAATATGAAATAGATTAATATCTTATGAATGTGATCCAGACAAGGAGGGAGAAAAACAAATGTATGCAGTTTAAAAATGGAAGGGAAATATTAAGTATGAGATATAGAAACCAAAAACGGGTTTTACACAGAAATACATATATGTTTATTATAAAAAATGAAGTTGAGGCCGAGCGTGGTGGCTCACACCTGTAATCCCAGCACTTTGGGAGGCTGGGGCGGGCAGATCACCTGAGGTCAGGAGTTCGAGACCATCCTGGCCAACATGGCAAAACCCCGTCTCTACTAAAAAAAAAAAAATTAGACGGGTGTGGTGGCTGGCGCCTGTAATTCCAGCTACTGGGGAGGCTGAGGCATGAGAATCACTTGAACCCATGAGGCGGAGGTTGCACTGAGAGGTGATCATACCACTGCACTCTAGTCTGGGGGATCGAGCAAGACTTGTCTCCAAAAAAAAAAATTTTTTTTTGAATACCAGTGATAAGTTTGTCCACACACCAAGAAATTGATAATTGCTAATAGAAAATCATATGAACAGCCTCCTAATTCTATAAACCTATGAAAAGAAACCCTGGTTTAAAAAAATCACTCAAAATTTAGCCCTCTGATTTTTAAAGGAATATTAGAAGTGTCTTTTCAAAATGATACTTTTTGGTAATTTCTGGATCATTAAGTCAAGGTCATTTTGTCTTCTCTCTTTTCCTTAGGGTCTCCTCCATTTTAGCCTGTCCCTCTGCCATAAATCACTAGTTCTAGCATATTCTGTAGTTCTAAACTAGCTCCTCAGTTTAACCCTGTTCCTCAGTTTCTTTCCTTTCCCTGTCCTGGCGTTTAACCTGTTATCCTCACTTGAATGCCACTCAGCTTATATCTGTAGAGCTCAGACACTACGTCTGTGTTCCAATTTGCATTCTTTGTGGTGGCTGTTTTAGCATGAAGTTATCCCTGCTGTCAATAATGTATTTTGGAAAGCCACTTATTGAGAAGAAAGTACTTCTAAGTGCAGTGATAACTTTATTGCGGTATTTGCTGAGAGCAAAGCTCATTTGTAATAGTTGGTTGTGATTTTAAAAAGCGAACAAAATACAAAATCCTGAGAAATGGGAGACTATGCTACTAAGTGGTTATTCTTGTCTCTACATCAGCTCTAGGTAAAAATGTATCCACAGCTTCTTTTTATTTACAAGTTTTTGAAGGTAAAGCAAATCCCAGCTAGGATGAAACATCTCTTATACAGCCATTCTATTATTTCTTTGCCCTGTCCCACTTTTGTTTGTAAGTAGTGCCTTTCATTAGGCATTTTAAATTCAGTTCTACACTTAACTCTATTCTCTCAAAGATATTTAATGGGTAATTTAAACTTTCCTTGGATATAACTAAGTTCTAATCAGTGAGTATTCTCTATTAGATATTTGCACTTTTAATAATTTTGTGTCTAGTTTAATGATTAATTTTTTGTCTGGTAAAGGAACTTAGAAATTACAAATTTGATAGAGATTTAACTGTGGTGCTTTAAACTACCCCCCGCTCCCCAAGATGTATTATGATCTGTCTTCCTTTCTCCAAGCTTGTGTCCTCGTCTTCCCTCTTATGATTTCCTTGCTTACATTTTATGAATTCCGATCCCTTTTATAAAGATTCATACAAAAGGTATAGTGTTGAAATATACCCTAGGAACATTACCAAGACTTCGCTGACTTAATATAATTTAATATTAACTGACACAGTTGTAGATCTAATAATTATGTTCATTGTACCAGCTCATCAATTGTCTATCACAAGGTGGTAAGTTTTTACCAAGTAACTTCAAATCTACAATGTGGGATACTACAAAGCAAATAGTCATTGCTATACATTAAATCACAAATCCAAGGTGAGTATTTAAAAAGCCTAGGGTGGAAATTCAGATGACAGCTATGTTCAAATATTCACTTAACCCCATCATTGAAAATAGTCACTGAATTAGATTGAATGGTTGTCAGATGTCACTGATCTGAAAAATGATATACTGTTCACATGCTGGCATATAATGTTAGATAAAGAGGATTCTAAAATGTTCTTTAAAACTAGTATTTTATGTGTCCTTTAAGTATTCAGAAACTTAAATAGCCATATAATACATATTTTGGAGCATGTCAGAATATATTTGACTATAAACTACTTCTATTTATTACTCATAAAATCTAGTATTTAAGTACAAATTCCAAATTTAATTTGTTAGACAAGTATTTCTTACACAAAATTGTCAGTCCACACAATAGGCCTGTAAAATATTTGCACTTTATATGTATTAATTCTCAAGTTTGCAGAAGAGGTAGATCTTGTTAACTCTGTAACTTATCAACTATAGGGTCTTTGCCAAATGATTCCGTGACTTTGACTCACTTTATCATCTGCGAAATGCATTAATAGTAAATGTTCACTTCTTTCAAAATACTTGTTATGGAAGATACAAATATACAAACATAATCTCGTATTCATTAAACTCACATTCAGTTGCAAGGTAATATAACTACTCTTAAATTGCAGCATGTTCTCATTTAAAATAATTTTCTGGGTGAGTTGTTTATTCTTCCCATCCCCCTTAGTATACCTCTTGCTTTAAGGGAAATTAGTATTGACACATTTCTTGTATATTCAACTTCAAATTGAGATAGCCAGTTACCTATTATGTTCACATATGGAGGTCTGCTGGGATAATAATTATATAACTATAAATAGTACTGTTTAAAAATATTTCTTATAATGTCACTCAAGTATCTTTTAAGATTTTTATTGTAGCTATTGCTTTTTTTTTTTTTTTTTTACTTGAAATTAGTATACGTGACTTGAGCTTAAAAAGTTGGGGCTATATGGGTTGATTTTTGTCGTTAAAGTTACATCCTATATTGCCAGATAAAAGATACGTAATTACAAAAATTCAAATTAAATAATATACTGAAAGTATATATATCTTTCATACTAAATTGTGAAAGTATTGAGGACAGTGTCCATTTACTCAGGCAATGCCCTCTAATATATATTCTATATAAGGAATTTTGTTGAGTTTAGTTAAAAGAGCTACTTTCCCAAAAAGTTTAGTTTGCATTTTATTAATACGTTCAACCAGATTACCTGTATCAAAACTTCTATTTTGATAAATTTGTTTTAATGTCTTTCATGCCATTAAATGTTCATATTTTCTTAGGATTATGAGACACTTGTATTAACTGCCTCAATTCTTTATTGTCAAAGAGGCAGTATATAAACAAATGAAAACATGACTCCATTAAAAATAATTCTCCTGCAATGTATCAGAGTGATCATAAACATATCTGAAATATAGAGGAAATTTAACATTTCACTTGTCCATAAGCAATTTGTTGAAAGTCTATTTTTTAAATTTATTCTTAACATTCTATGCGTGGCATATAGTGAGTGGTCAAAAATAGTTAAAGAATGACTAAATATGTAAAACTTAATCATTGAAGGTAGAGATAGTATCTTTGTAGTGAGTACCCAGAATTAAATCTTGTAATATAGTTGAGGTCAAAATGTGCTTCAAAAATTATCTAATGTAAATTTCTATATCTGAATCAAAAATAATTCTTGAAATACGGAGATAAGGAAGGGAATAAAAAGCTGTCATTGGAAATCCAGGTCCACAGTGGCAATATGGCCCACCGTTTAGGTTGTATATATCGACGTATTTATGATTTAATAAGAAAAAGATTCAATACATGCATCTCTCAATGGAAGAAAATAGGTATGATTTATGCCCATAAGTCTTGAAATTTTAAACAGTGTAAATCTTAAATGTGGTGTAAAAGCACATGCTGCAGGGCAATGAAACTACTTTGCCTTTCCTGTATTTTTTATCTTTTTAAAATGCATTATATTTAGAAGGATTGTATGAATACTTGAGAAGTTTCTCTTGAATATGGAGAAGTCTTTAGCTTGGCTACATGATGGCAGACATCTTATAAAAGACATTTAACATGTTTAAAAAGCAAATTCTGTTTATCTAGAATGTTGGAAGGAACTTCTCGGTTTATATATATTTTATGAGAACGAAATGAAATGAAAAGAAATGAAAGAACCAAATAGATGGTGGAAGTACATGCTTGAGGTTTCAGTGTCAGGAAGGATATTTACATAATAATTTTCAATGCATGGGATTTCCCTTTTAGTTATTGTTTAAGATTCTGTTTAAGGAAATCAACTCAAACTTTTAAGGATATTTCAGGGTTCCTTTCAGAATCTTTTTGTGAAATTATTTTATAATAGTTTGTACCATTTCATATCTAGTTAAAATCACCAAGACTGAGTGAAAAGGTAGCTTACCCTTATCCCCCTCCCTTAGCTAATTTTAAAAATGCTTGTATTTTACACTGCATATGAGGGAACAAAAGTGACTCCTTCTTAGGACAAATATCAAACTCTGAAATGATCTGGGAGAACCAATTCCTTTGAAACAAATGTGAGAAACGACCTGCTTTAGTCTAATTTCAATTGGCTGAATGACGCAGGACGTGTTTTCATTAGAGCCTGTAGCTCTGAAATGTCCTTGTCACTGGTTGTCTAAAAAGGCAAGAAGAGGCAGACACCATATATTATAAAGATGATGGTTCCCCTGTGAATGAGATATA
The DNA here is from genome assembly GCF_000001405.40 of Homo sapiens. Classification (NCBI taxonomy): domain Eukaryota; kingdom Metazoa; phylum Chordata; class Mammalia; order Primates; family Hominidae; genus Homo; species Homo sapiens. Next base: position 32,831,870 of record NC_000023.11, on the reverse strand, counting down.
ACTTTCTGCAACTTCCAAGTTAAAACCGCAAATGCTTAAATGATACACAAAACTCTAAACATCCATCTCTCTCTGCATCTAACAAAAATAAAATTGTATGAAAAAATTCATTAAAGCTTTGTCAGAACTTTGTCACCTGTCTTTTTCTCTCTCTCATACACAAACCACACATCACACACACACACACACACACACACACACACACACACACACACACACACGTAAATATCTTACAGGAATGTAACTCTTAGTTTTATTCATCATTTTCCCTTCTCTCTCTCCTTCTGCTCTGCCCTAAGAACTTCCATTTTCATTATTTGACTTGGTTATTGAAATTATTTTCAAGTTACATGCCCCTCATTCTGACGTCTTATTTACTATTTTCTGTTTGATGAACCCTAGTCTGCTATTCTTCTTTCTGTAAAGCAAATCAAAAATAACACTAACTTGTTCCTGTCAATAATCTTTCAGAAAACCATCATATTTCAGGTTTACTTTCATCTTAAGTTTTTCTTAAGTATTCTTAAATCTTGAATATATCAATATAATAAGTATAAATCCTTTTACTGTAAACCATCATGGGATATCTAATCTTAGCTTGAATAAAATATTGACGATGGTAGAAATTACATCCATGTTCCTGAAGGAAAGTGGGATAAAAGAAAACAGCGAGGTTTTTTGCCTGTCTCGAACAAGCAAATGACGAGAATTGTTCCTCATAGCCCAGTCATTTAGGAGGTAGAGTACCTGGAAGTAAATGCTCCCTGAAATGATTATATATTAATCTTAGAATTACTAAATATATATTGTTATACAAAATTATGTATTGTAAGTACTAGTCTGGCGATAGAAGAGGGACCCCCTTAAGTTCTTGTCCTATGCCTTTAAAATAGACAGCAGGAGACTACTCCATACTAAAGAATAATTTAATGTATTAGGTTTTCTATGTGCAATTCTTACAGACTGCTTATTGTAACTTGAGGTGTTTCTAAAGAGTTCACATTTTAATATTCTACTGGAGTCACAATAAGTTTCCATTATGTCAAAGCAAACCATGGAGGTTTTCTATCCTCCAAAATTACATTTGAATAAAGCAACTTCCGAAGATAACAGTGTAAAACTCTGAGACAGCATCCCATGTTACTTTATGAGTAAAATCTTAGGCCTGTTGACAGGAACTACAAAAGCCAATTGTGCTGCGTAGTTTAACTTATTTCTGCAAAAACTCAAGGCATGTTATTACATTTTCACACAGAATATCAATTTTCACACCTATTTTGGTATCAGATGTTTTCATTGTGCAAAACAGGAAAGCAGAACTTTGGGTAACCACAGTGACCCTACTATTTAATTTCCAACCATAGAGTGCTTGTCACAACACTGATACACACAGTAGGCTCGTACATTAACATACATGTCATATTAATGTTTTCTGTTTTGCTTAGTAGACAGATGTAATCATTCACTTCACACAGATTTTAAAAGGTTTTAATATTTTTACCATTCAGTTATTTAGCAATTAGACTGATAATTCTTGAAAGACATAATTCTGGAATGTGTATTAGAAAAAAAAACATAAAAGAGAAGTTACTGTATGGCAGGGTGATGATTATTTAAGAGGAAATAGTACTGAATTCAGAAAAATGTTATGACTTACAGCTAATAGTAAGAAATACAGCATTATAAGAGCAACAAGCTTATGAGAATTCATGGCCAAAACAGACCAGACCGTCAATGTGAGGCATTGAAGAGTAATATAAATGCCATGAACAATACCCTTTCAGGCATGACAAATACCTCCCTCCTCTAGAGTCTTCATGGTTATCAATTAGCATTTCTTACACTCCTTGGTAGTTTGAAGAAGACATGTACAAGAGACAAAACACAACCAAAATAAATAATAATCCTTGTCTGTATCATGGTGTGAAATGTTTATTAACTTGGAGAGAGAGCCTCTTAAAGCTTTTTGTGGAGAATTCACTAGATGTAATTAATGAAATATCTTCTATCCAGACATAGTTTTAAATCAGACCTTGTGGAAGCTTCATTTATCTTTGATACTCTGTTTCCCTCTTGGTAAAATGCACATAAATGTAAAATGTTCATGAACTCTTGGTAAAATTTATATAGCTCATACATACTCTAATGATGTAGGCATAGTGAAATCTGTATTCAGAGAGAACTGTATAGCCATAAGATTTTTAAAAGATGGAAATAAAAGAAGTATGCATCTTAAGAAATTGTAAAAATAGAAACAAAAATAAAAATTGTATTCAACGTAGAAAATTGAATAAGAATAATCCATTCAAAAGTGAGCTCTTGAAAAGATTAACAAAATAGGTAAACCTATCCCAGTCATAACAAAGAAAACTTAGAATAAAAACTAGACGAGATAAATGAGAAAAGACGCATGACAGCAGATACAGAAGAAATGAAGTGGAAACTAAAAGCAATTTTATAACAATTTTGCAAAATTCTGGAAAACTTGATTTTCTCGTACAATACAAATCACTAAAATTGAGATAAGAATAAGTGGAAAATTAGACTGATTACTTCAGAAAACATTTAGTAGGTTATTAAAGGTGTACTGTTGAAGAGTGTAGTAGGATTCTTTACAAATGAATTTAACGTAACCCTTAAAGAATAATTTATATACTTTAAGCTATTCCAAAGCATATGAAAAGAAAAAAACTCCACAATTCCTTTTGTGATGTCAGGTTAACCTTTGTACTTAACAGTCAAAAAGCAAAGATCATAAATCTGTAAGACAGTTTTACTTTTGAATGAAATACAAAATTTTGTTGAATTATAAGAAATATAATCACATTTTGCAAGTGGTAAGCATTCTACAAATGTTATCTCTTATTTACCAAGAGCTCTTAAAATTCAAGAAGGAAAAGAAAACTACCATATAGAAATTAATGAGCAAAACATATTAACAGACAATTCACACATGGAATTGTAATAGGTCAGTGATACAAAAATATATTCAAATGCACAAGGAATCATGGAAATAAAAGTTAACAAAGTGATGTATTTGATCATACAAACAAAACTAAAAGAATCAAAAACAAAACAAAAATTTCCTGGTGAGAGAAGAGCCTATTCTTATACATTCTGGTTAAAATATGTAATTCTAAATTGTTTCTAGGAAGGCAGGTGGAAACACCTACTAAAATTACATATATATGTGTATATATGTGTGTGTATGTATATATGTATATAGATGTATACATATGTATATATGTGTATAGATGTATACATATGTATATATGTGTATAGATGTATAGATATATATGTGTATATGTGTAGATACACATATACTTGTATAGATATGTCTATATCTCCCTGAAATGATGCGTATATATATATGTATAGATGTATCTACTAGAGCAGAGTGTGTGTGTGTGTGTGTGTGTATACACACACTCTGATCCAGTATATACATCCTGTGAATTGTTATAATAACAGTAGAAGCATCAGTATCTGAAAATGTATGCATAAGATATTGGCCAGGTGTGGTGACTGCTGGTGGGAATGTTAATCAATTCTGCCATTGTGGAAAGCAGTGTGGTGATTCCTCAAAGAAGTTAAAACAGAAATACCATTCAACCCAGCAACCTCATTATTTGGTATATACCCAAAGGAATATAAATTGTTCTACGATAAAGACACATGCACATATATGTTTATTGCAGCACTATTCACAGTAGCAAAGATGGGGAATCAACATAAATGTCCATCAACAGTAGACTGATTAAGAAAATATGCTACATATACACCATGGAATACAACCCAGACAAAAATAAGATTGTAGCAACATGGATGCAGCTGGAGCCGTTATCCTTAGCAAACTAGTGCATGAACAGAAAACCAAATATCACATGTTCTCACTTATAAGTGGGAGTTAGGCTGGGCGCAGTGGCTTATACCTGTAACCTAGTACTTTGGGAGGCCGAGGCGAGCGGGATCACCTGAGGTCGGGAGTTCGAGACCAGCCTGACCAACATGGAGAAACCCCGTCTCTACTAAAAATACAAAATTAGCCAGGCGTGGTGGCGCATGCCTGTAATCCCAGCTACTTGGGAGGCTGAGGCAGGAGAATCGCTTGAAACTCGGGAGGCGGAGGTTGTGGTGAGCCGAGATCGTGCCACTGCACTCCAGTCTGGGCAACAAGAGCGAAACTCCACCTCAAAAAAAAAAAAAAAAAGGGGAGTTAATAACAAGAACACATGGATATAAAGTGGGGAACAACAGACACTGGAGCCTACTCAAGAGTAAAAGGTGGGAGGAGGGAGAGGATCAGAAAAACTACCTATCAGGCACCATACTTATTACCTGGGCGATGAAATAATGTGTACATTAAACCCCCATGACACGCAATTTACCTATGTAACAAACCTGCACATGTACTCCTGAACCTAATATAAAAGTTAAAAAAGAGTAGCTGTCTGCCACTGAATACAATTCTGTCCCTGAATATAATATCTCCAATTCCCAATCAGTTAATTACCCCCTAGTGATCTGAATGCTTTCTGGCATGCTTTCTCCACCTGATACTTTTCTTCATTCCAATCTATTTTTTCTTTACAGATTTAATCAATACTGAGTACATGAATATATCTTATGTCTTTTGCTTATCTTTTCACAATGTTACTTCCTTTTTCTTACCCCTTGGGCTTCCGTGAGACACAGTTGCCTACCTAATTGTTTTTCCTGTGGATATAGATAAATTTTATTGGAAAAAAACCATGAACATTTATTTAGGTATTATCTGTGGCTGCTGCTGTGTGTGTGTGTGTGTGGGGGGGGGGTGCGATGTGTGTTCCAATGACTTATTTTTTATTGTGGTAAAATACAAATGATGTAAAATTTACCATATAACTATTTTTTATTTTTTAATTAGCAAAAAAAATTGTATATACCATGTAGCATATGATTTTTTAAAATATCTAGATGTTGTGGAATGCTTCAAGCTAATAAACATATACATTAACTTATATGTTTATCATTTGGGGTTGAGGACACTTAAAATCTATTCTCTTAGCAATTTTCAAAATACAATATTGTTATTAACCAAAGTCAGCATGTTGTACAGTAGATCTCTTGAATTTATTCCTATTAAATGTAATTTAGTATCATTTGACCAACATCTGCCTAACCCTCCTCCTCCAAGCTCTATCCCCTGCTAACCAACATTTTACTCTCAATTCTATGAGCTCAACATTTTAAAATTTCATATACAAGTGACATGATGTAATGTTTGTCTTTCTGTGCCTGGCTTATGTCATTTGACGTAACGTACTCTAGATTCATTAATTTCATTGCAAATGAGAGGATTCTCTGCTTTTTAAGTCCGAGTAGTATTCCAGTGTGTGTGTGTGTAGGTCTGTATACCTGCATTTTCTTTATTCTTTCATCTACTGATGGACACTTAAGTTGATTTCCTATCTTCGCTATTTTGAGTAGCACTACAATATACATTGAAGTGCAGTTATTTCTTTGACATATTGATTTGTTTCCTTTGGAATATATACCCAGCAGTAGAATTCCTGAATTATATGGTAGTTTTATTTGTAATTTTTTGAGAAACCTCCATACTGTTTTTCATGACTACAATAATTTACATTTCCACCAACACTGTGCAAAGATTCCTTTTTCTCCACATCTTTGCCACAACTTACCTTTTGTCTTTTTGATAATAGCCATTCTGTGTGATGTAATATTTCATTGTAGTTTTAATTTGCATTTCTCTGATGATTAGTGATGTTCAACATTATTTCATTTATGTGCTGGCCGTTGGTTTGTCTTCTTTTGAGAAATGTCTATTCAGGTTCATTGCCCTAGATAGGGTTTGAGGTATCATTTTTTCTATTTTTTTAGTGTATAATTCAGTGGCTTTAAGTATATTTCTGTTGTTGGGTAGTCATCACCGCTATCCATCTCTAGAATGATTTCATCATCCCAAGTTGAATTCATACTGATTAAACGATTACTCTCCATTTTCACCTCCCCTAGCCTTTAATAACTTCCATTTTTTCTCTATGAATTTGGCTATTTTAGGTACCTCATATAAGTAGAATCATACAATATTTGTCATTTTATGTCTTGCTTATTTCACTTAGCATATGTTTCCAAGGTTCATTTATGTTGTAGTTTGTATCAGAATTTCATTCCTTTTTAAGGCTGAAAATATTCCGTTGTATGTACATACCACATTTTGTTTATCCATTTATCTGTAGATGGACATTTGGGTGTTCTCACATTTTGGCTATTGTGAATAATGTTACTATGATAATTGGTCTACCAATATCTTAATCTCTGTTTTTAATTATTTTGGTTATAAACATAGAGGTAGAATTGCTAGAGCCTAATGGTAGATACTTTTTTATTATGTGACCTTCTGTTGTGAACTTTTTGACACTGGGGGGGTAGTACCTTACTTTCCTTTATCAGGTCTGAGCCCAGTACCTGAATATAGTGGAAATTGGACCTTATGAGACCTTTTATGAGGACAAGGAAATGGAGGAACTATCTTCCTGCTTACACAGTGACAAGTCTTATGACAGTGGATAAGGGGTTACTGGAATCTAAGTTCCTATTACTTGATCTAAGTCTCCCCAGAGTCAGGTCCATGGCAACCCAAAACGTATCTACCAGCAGTGCTTCCCGCAGTATGAGTGAGTATGTTTCCTAAAAATAGCATATTCTCTGCTTAACTGCTTGAGTCTTTAGTGCTATATCATCTGATTGTCACTATCACTAGAATTAAGTTTCATGAAAGCAGAAGGTTTTTACTTTTACATGCTCTTATTACTTCATTGCCTGGCAGATAGCCAAAAGGTACTTGTTGAGTTAGTGAATCAATGAATCAATAGATAAATTCATAGTGGCTTTTCCTTATGGAGGAATTTCTCTCCTCTACTGCCATATGAGGAATCCCCAGATGATGATGCAGATGATGATGCTTTCTTATTCTTGAATGATCAATCTCCCCTTCGATGTAGTAACATCTTATAAAACTAAAATACGATATCATGACCAAGATGTCAACATTCATAAAACCACCAATAGTATTCAGATTTTCCCAGCTTTACTCATATTTATGTGTATGTGTGCATGCATATGTGTGTATTTAGTTCTATGCAACATTATTACGTGTGTAGGTTTGTAAATCCACCATCAGAGTCAATATGCAGAACAGTTCCACCATTACAAGGGTCCCTCATATTGCCCTTTTATAAGAACATTCAGCTACCCCACATCTTACTCCCATTCCTGACCTCTGCCAACTGCTATTCTGTTCTCTATTTCTGTAACTTTGTCTTTTCAAGACTCTCATAGATACGGATTCATACAGTATGCTACCCTTTCAGAATGACTTTTTCCCCACTTAGCATAATGCCCATGAAATTCATCCAATTTGCTGCATGTATCAATAGTTTGTTCTTTTCATTGATGAGTGTTATTCCATGGTGTGGCTGTACTATGGTTTGTTTATCTACCCCTGAGGGCATCTGGGTTCCCAGTTTGGGGCTATTACAAATAAACGTAGTATGAACACTTAGGTGCAGGTTTTTGTGTACACATGTGTTTTCATTTCCTTGAGATAAATGCTCAAGAGCCCAATTACCAGATTGTATAATAAGTACATGTTCAGTTTTGTGAGAAACTGCCAGACTGTTTTCCAAAGTGGCTATATCATTTGAGTTTCCACTAGCAGGGGTTGAGTCATCCAGTTTCTCCACACCCTCACCAGCATTTTATGGCACTATTTTTTAATTTTAACCATTATGATAAATGTGCAGTGATACATTATTGTGGTTACAATTTGCATTCCTCTATTGGCTAAAAACATTGAACATCTTTTCATATGCTTGCTTTTCAGATGCTTGTGTTTAACTTTACTCCACCTTAAACATTTGAGGAGTGTGAAGGACAGGAGACACAGAGATTTGCCTTGATTAAGGCAAATAAAACCCTGCCAGATTTTCATTTCCAAACACAGTCCTAGACAGAGATAAGAGAGCTGGCAGTTTGCTCCATTGTTTATTAGAGACCTAACATTCATTCTAAAACAGAGGCGTTTTACTAAAATGCAGTCAGCCTTAATTATAATGGCACTCCTTGGAGCTAGGTGGAAGTACTGGTGAATTTTTCTGAGTTGTAATTCCATACTAGAAAGCATATCTTAATTTTAAACATACTTTATGACATTTTATTTGGAGATACTCCAGTTGACCTCTTTAATCTGCAGTAATCTATTCATGTGCTGAAAGTAAATATATTTGGGGTGCTTGTTTGTTATGGAAAGTGATTTTACACATGCATTTTGTTTAATTTTTAGATTATTTTCAAAAAGCTTCAATGCTAAGTCTCTGAAAATAGCTAAATGCAATTACCTTCACGTTTTTATTATTATTATTATTGCAACTAGGCATTTGGTCTCTTACCTTCAAATGTTTTACCCCTTTCTTTAACAGGTTGATTTAGTGAATATTGGAAGTACTGACATCGTAGATGGAAATCATAAACTGACTCTTGGTTTGATTTGGAATATAATCCTCCACTGGCAGGTAAGAATCCTGATGAATGGTTTCCTTTTGGGTAACATTAATCTTGTTTTTTAATTTTTACCCTTGACGTGTGAAACAAATGTGTATTTCTAACAATAACAAACCCTGCTCCATAGTGCTGCTTTTTAAATTGACACTACCATGTCGTCTGAAATGTTAAGGATCATCACGGTATAAAATAGGTTCTGGTACATTTACAGGAATATTTTTCAAAATTTTATTTCATTGAGTAAGTATAAGGTAAAAATACAAAGTCCCAATCATAGGTGAGTAATTTTTTTCACAAATGTATGTTCTATAACTTGTCTATAAGTTAATTTAGTATGTTTTATTTTAATCACTACCAAAGGAATGAGGCTTTCTCAGTCTTGGGTATTCTTAACATAAATTATTGCCAATAAAAGATTAGTAGAATATGGGTATCTCTATCAATAAATGTGTGTAATACATACAAACTCCATAATGTGATTTGGAAATTATTTTTAAGTCACCTGAGCATAGGGTCTTCCGACTGTCTATTTGACCTCTGCAAAATGGGTTGAAGGATTTGTGGAAAAGATACAGACACACACCCGTGTGTGTGTGTGTGTAGTATATATGCGTATATATATAATGTGTCTATATATACACACATATATACAATATGCATGTGTGTATATACACACACTCATATCCACACATTATATATGTATATATATACACACTCATATCCACACATTATATATGTATATATAAGACCAACATGAACTTATATCCACTAATATTATCCACTCATTGTATACATATACATAATAGTATAATCATAATATGTATACATAATCATACATGAACTTATATCCACTAATATTTTCCACTCATTGTATATATATACGTAATAGTAACTCGTTATACACATATGTATAAATATGTATGTGTATATATATATACCAACATGAACTTGAATTTAAACTTCCACGGTTACCATCTTAGTGGCATTTGGTATATTGCCACCCCTGTTCTGGGCCATGGTCCCTTCACTATCAAAAGAGTAAAAATAAAAATAAATGTGTATGTATTTCTTATCACGATTAAGTGGGAGAATATCTGCAAGGCACTCAGTGTAGTATACCACTTTTATTTGAGGTGTATCATATGACTTGTATTGATTGCTTAAAGTTTTCCACTCATTTAAAAAATTTGGAGGCTGAGAAATGACTGCTGTTTTTACTGGTCGGGATTACTTTTTTATAAATCAGCGTTTTTGAAATGTAATTGTTAGACCATCAATGTACTCATTCTAAGTGTAAAATTCAATTTGCATCAATCTGGTTTAGTTCTGGTTCTTGGTAGCCTCTCAAACTATTTTGAGGGATGAATAACTCCCCCCCACCACGTTCATTAAAATTTGCAGGATATTTACAGAGTTATATAGCCATCATAGCGATCTAATTTTGGCACTTTTCCACCACCTTAAAAAGAAGTTTCTTCTCCATTTACAGTCATTTTTCACTCCCACCCCAGCCCTAGGCAATTGTCAATCTATTTCTGTCCATATGTATTTGCCTTTTTGGATATTTTATATCAATATAATACATGTTCTTTTGTGTCTGGCTTCTTGCAATGAGGGTAATAGTTCAGATCCAGCCCTATTGTAGCAGATATCATGGCTTCATTCGGTAAACTTGAATTTTTTTATTTTTTATTTTTATTTTTTTTTATTTTTATTTTGAGACAGAGTCTTGCTCTGTCGCCCAGGCTGGAGTGCAGTGGCGCGATCTCGGCTCACTGCAAGCTCCGCCTCCCGGATTCACGCCATTCTCCTGCCTCAGCCTCCCGAGTAGCTGGGACTACAGGCGCCCCCCCACCACGCCCGGCTAATTTTTTTTTGTATTTTTAGTAGAGACGGGGTTTCACCGTGTTAGCCAGGATGGTCTCGATCTCCTGACCTCGTGATCCTCCTGCCTCGGCCTCCCAAAGTGCTGGGATTGCAGGCATGAGCCACTGCGCCCGGCTTGAATTTTAACTTGAATTGTAGATTGCTCTTGCTCAGAGTCAAATAGTGAGTAGACACAAAGAGTACCTATTAAATTCAGCAGCCATGTTGCTCTCCTAATTGGCCCCCATATATTTTTATTCCAAATTCTCTGAACAGGCTTAATGCTACTTCACAACAGTAAGCGGGGAGAGGGGAAGAGAAAGAGCGGGAATTAATATGTGCTGGCAACAAAGAATAGCTCATAGGAGCCTTAAGTGAGCCCAAGTTGGCCGATTTTCAGCCCGTTCCATATAGTGATGGTGTCAAATAGAACCAGCAAGCAACATACCGCATCTCTCCCCAAACTGCTTTTCATATGTTGCTCAGTACTTCTCAAAATATCTTGAGGAAGGAACACTTTTCCCCTAATCCATTGTATGTAAGATAGAATAAAACCAAAGCGTTACAAAAATAAGATGCCCAACACCCATGCTTCCTCCTTTATTATTAAATACATTAGACATAAATGGTACTCTGTAAAATCGCTACATAAGTTTCTTGATGCACTCTGAATTGTTGACTTTATCTTATGGCATAGTAACAAATAATTCCTAGAGTGAATCCAGTTTGCAGATCCCGCTTTGCGTAAGACAGATGTAAGTTTTGACAAAGCCAGCAGAAGAACTCAAGCATGCACAGAGCTCCAAAAGGCACTCTGAACTGTATTTATTGTTTATACTACTTCTTATATGATCTTACCATTTTTAAAAATATCCTGAAGCCCTTTCCAACTCCATCTGAACTAGTCCAAGATAAGCTTTCAAGACTATTATGTCTGATAATTTCTTCACTTGCTTGCAAGTTGTTCATTTATTATTATTTTTTTATTTTTTATTTTTGAGACAGAGTCTCGCTCTGTCACCCAGGCTGGAGTGCAGTGGCGCGATCTCTGCTCACTGCAAGCTCCGCCTCCTGGGTTCATGCCATTCTCTTGCCTCAGCCTCCCAAGTAGCTGGGACTACAGGCGCCCGCCACCACGCCCGGCTAATTTTTTGTATTTTGTTCAGTAGAGATGGGGTTTCACCGTGTTAGCCAGGATGGTCTCGATCTCCTGACCTTGTGATCCGCCCGTCTCGGCCTCCCAAAGTGTTTGGATTACAGGCGTGAGCCACCGCACCCAGCCCATTTTTCATTATTAGCATGTGGAGGCGCTTTTGCAATGAGGAATATCAGAAGGAATGCTTTTTAAATCTTTCTTTGTCTGAGACCTCTCTTATAGCCTGTTGTTTTTCATTTATGCCCTTGAATCACCATATCCTTGAGACTGCAAGACTGTAGACTCTTCCCAGCCTCTGCTTACTTATCTCATCTCTCTTATATCACACTGCCCTGTTCTAAAACTATTAAGCACACTTTGAAAAATTATCTTGCTCAGTGTTCATCATAATCCAGTGAATCTAAAAATGTGTTTTTCTTTTTTTTTTTTTTTTTTACACCAACATTACATATTTTCTTCCTATTAAATGGTAGAAGCCCTTGAATTTCAGCAAAGATTAAAGGACATTTTGGTCAACTTAATGTACATTCTAGATCTATCAGATAACGAGCGGCATTTACAGATAGAACCATGTTGGCCCCTTTTTCTAATGCAACATACTATGTTATTAATAGTGCCATGGAGGACTTCTCATTGAACTTGTGAAAACTCAGGAATGCAAACTCTGTTTTCCTATTACTGTTTTTCTACTGTCCATCTCAAATAAAATTGCTAGCCTAAAACAGTAACGCATATTTTGTAACATAGGCAGGTTTGAACAAAATTGCAAAGCATATAACATGTGTTTGGCATCTTTTTCTTCCTTCTTAAGTGCAATTCTTTTTTTTTCGGAGTGCTAAACTTGGCTCTGGCAACCAGCTGGTTGTAATAACAAATCTTGCTAACAGTGGTGAGCTATCAGAAGTCAGGTCCATACTTTTACTGGACAATTCAAGGGATGTACTTAATGGCAACGCTAATTCACTTTAGAATGTTCATATTATTGATACAATTTGCAATTACAGGAGAATGATGACGTTCGCACTGCTGAAAGCCATCCCTGTAAATTCCTGCCTACCAAGTCACTTCTGTGCAAGACAGTTCTTGCTCTGCTCTTCTGCAGAGCTTCACAGAAACTATCCTTACCATATAAGATTATTCCTACCCTCTTCATTTCTATTCCTCTGCTGCAACTTCTTTTAATCACAGTCTGGGTTCTGGGGAGTAGACTTCGGAGTTGAGTTTGGCAGGCAGCATGTTTATTAAGCCATGCCCTGGAAAAAAAAAAAAAAAAAAAAACACCTGTAGAAGGGCAGAGGTGACAGGAGTGGAAAGAGGAAGAACTAGAGCTGTGACGTAGACCCTATGACACGCTTATTCAAACCCCATAGACAACTTGCAGCTAGGATGACCCCTCAGAGTTGTCTCAAATGGGGTTAAAATGGCTGAGTGTTTATACTCTGCCCCTTCATCAGTCAATAGTAGTGGGTTGCCCTAGAGAGGGTGTGACATTGGCTGGCAGGACTCTGCAACTCAGGTGGTACCTGAGAGAACTAACAACTAGAAGCTGCCTGACCACAGCTGGAGCAACAAGCCCTTCCTTGAAGGTCAATCTTGGTGGTGCACCTCCATGTCCATCATGCCTTCTTGGCCCAGTTAACTCCTAGTCATTTTTAAAAATCACTGCTCAAAGACATTTCAACTTTTTTCCTTTTAAAAATTGATTTATAGTTGTATGCGCGCACACACACAAATACATCTGTTTAAATTGAGCCTCCTTTAGAGACAGTGAGACCTGAGGACGGGACAGTTTTCTGTTTACAGGCTCACCTTTGGGGACCAGCTCAATGATTTTTTGATAACTGCCTTTTATGTAGGAAAAGGAGACATGATTATCATACATTGCCCTTTATTATTTTTTTTTGTCTGAGCAACATTTGCACCTAAGTAGAAGCAATAACAGCGAGGCTGAGGCTGATAAGCTGAATTAGTGACATAATGATGCTATAAAGGAGTTTTGGATTGAATACTTTGTTGTCCTTTAACGTTATGCACATAGAGGGCAGACTGGCCAAGCATTTCACAAATGAATCACATTCATCATTGGAGGATTGCTTGATTATTGCAAATCCATTACCACCATTAAGCCACTATCTGCTGATTCCAACCGTAATTTAGCACAGGACACAAAATACACCTCCTGCAGTCACTGTACATAAAGGTTGAGCAATTTATAATTTTAGAATATGAGACAAATTACGTAATTATTTGACCTGTATTCACTGAGTAACTGACTAAATAAGTAGGTCAAGAAGGAATTAGGAAAACTTGGATAATCCACTCCTAAATAATAGGCTTAGTTATCAAGGGATTGTGACAGATACATGCAAAGATTTCATATCTCCGAATCGTTACTGTGTTTACAAAGCATCATCTCAAATCTTTTAAAAGTATGTTAAAATGAGATTTAGTAGTATATCCTAAAATTTGCATTTACTTTTTAATAAAAAGATGACTAACATTGGAGATGTTAAAATATGCATTTACCCCAAAGGCATTTGTTAACTTCTATATGGATGAAAAAATAAAATTGTCATATTTAGAATGCACAATAAATATTCATCATCTGATCAAATGTTGATAGTATATGAACCTTAACCTTCCCAGAAGGAAAGTGCTTAGTGGTACAGACTGATCACTTTTACATAGATGTCTTCTTCCAGCATCTCATAAGGGGCTTATATTTAAAAAGCAGTCTTTAATAAATAATAATTCTTTAATAAAAGATGTAGACAGTTTTTTCTATGAAGCGTCACTGCATTCATGAAACTTAGAAAAAATGCTTAGAATGGATTTCTGCATCAGATGACTCAGAAGAATTAAACTTGATAATCTGTTGAATAACATCTGCACATGCACGAAGCCTATGAGACAATCAAATACATGGAAACCAAGTAATGAAAATAGAACCAAGGCTACATATGTACACCTCTTAGGGATAAATATTTCCTTCCTTTGTTGTTTTTTTTCTTTATTTTAGGTAGGCAAACATTTCTGTCTTCTTTTCAGTTCAGCCAATAAATATAGCTTGCGTTAAATGATGGTATGAAATCAGGGGTTTTATCTGACCATATTTTGTACTTTGATCTTACACTAACCTTGCATGTAAGATACACAGAAATGAGGCCTAGAAGAGGTTAAGCAACTTGTCCAATTACCACAATTAATAGCAAAGGCAAAATTTGAACATATACTTTAAAAAACAATTATCTATAGTATTCCTCCTATCCAAAAAGCGCTTTTATATCTTAAGTCCTTGGTTAACAATAAGTCTAATGTTTTATACACTGTCTTCTCTAGCTTGTTCATTGAAAGCTAGAAGGTGAGCAATTCTATAAACAGTAAATGTTGGGTCTAATATGGCAGAATCCAGGAGTAATAGTGAACACATTCAGTAAATGGTATGGCATAGATACCAATGAATCAGAATAGACTCCTAGCCTTTGAGAATAGACTTAACTTCTGGTAGAATCTATTATGTCTCATTACTAATTGGCCCTAAAATTTCTATTTATCACTGAAGATCAAGGACATTCATATTTAAGTTTGCATGGTTCTTGCTCAAGGAATGCATTTTCTTATGAAAATTTATTTCCACATGTAGGTCAAAAATGTAATGAAAAATATCATGGCTGGATTGCAACAAACCAACAGTGAAAAGATTCTCCTGAGCTGGGTCCGACAATCAACTCGTAATTATCCACAGGTTAATGTAATCAACTTCACCACCAGCTGGTCTGATGGCCTGGCTTTGAATGCTCTCATCCATAGTCATAGGTAAGAAGATTACTGAGACATTAAATAACTTGTAAAAGTGGTGATTTAGACTCTGATGACATATTTTTCCCCAGTATGGTTCCAGATCATGTCCTACTTTACAACATGTTATGTACATTGACCACATTGATCTAACGTTCCATTGGAATGAACTAATTAAGAATATTTTCCAGTGTTCTATGGGATACATATAATTCAGTTGTTGAAACATTAACATTAGCGGAGCGTGAAAGTGGTTATAGTGGAGGGGGAGAGTATCAATATGTTTGACACTGGGAATCCCAGTAAATCCAGGTTGTATTCTAACTTTGCCGAGAATGGTGTTGGTCTTTTTATACAGATAATGTGTTTGTATAAGCCTAAACTATACAGGTAAAAATGATACTAGATCTCATGTGAGTAGTTGTAGTTAAATTAATTACCATCATCAGATACGTAGTGTGGAGAAAGAAACATCTGTCTTATCAGATACACACTTTGATATCAAACACCATAAAGCCCTGTATACTTTGTTCTAGTTCAGGGTCATAAGATGCTCAGAGCATTTTTAGTAACCAAGACAAAGAGCAGAACACAATTAATTATATGACACAATGTTTTGAATACCAACAGAAACAATTGCACTGGAACAGCAAATCAATTGCTATAAAGCAAGAGAGAGATCTTTTGTGGATTTTAATAAAAAGAATTCACTGTAATACAGTGAACCAAAGTCCTTAACTATATTCCATTCAACATTATATTTCTTAAGATGAAAAAGATTTTTTTTGCTTTTCTTGTGTAAAGTTCAGTAAATGAATTAATAACAGTTCAAGAAAAAGCAAAGCAGTGTAGGAAATACATATGTATATGTACACATACACTTAGAGATACAATATATACTATATGCCATATATACTACACCATTTATACTCTATATATGTATATATATGTGTGTGTGTGTGTGTATATATATATATATATATATATATATGCTTGTGTGTGTGTATTTGAGAGAGAGGGACTACAGTCACTTTATTTTGGTCTTCCTGTTACCCGTTTCATTTACCCAACCCAGGGCTAAATGCATTGCCTAATTAACTGTTTAAAATGTCACTGGACTGCATCTTGCCTAATTTTCAGTGCAAGTTATGTTTTCTCACTTTGATTTTTTTTTTTTTTTGACCACTCTACCATTTTCCTATGCCAATCCTGCTTCTAGAAAAGCTAAGAATATTAATTTTCTCTAAGGTAAAGCTCAGTCCAAGAGCAAACACATTTCAAATAAGCATCTTTGTCAGGTGTCTTGCTCCAGCTGGATTTAATTAACCCCATCCCGACTGGGTTTCCAGGTGAATTACTCAGCAACCTGATTTAGAACAGAGGCAGACATGCATTCAAATGTCACGTTAAGCAGCGTTAACACATTGTTTCTCGTATGACAGAAGAAAATGTTTCCACAGCCTCAATACAGTTAGATGAGAAGGGATAGAGACATTCTGTCTGTGTTTTAAGTCAATGCTCATTTATGCAGCCACATGCTTAACACTAAGGGCCCGAAAATATTGATTTTGCTGTTCATGTACACATTTGCAGATGAATAAAAATATCAAGGATCAGGTTATGTGGTCCTTGTTGGCTCTCTAACGTTTTTCCCTTCAAGTGGAAGACTTCAATCCTGCAAGCATGTTCCCACTCTATATTTGTTAATATTCTATTTAATGATTTCTGAATACATTTGTAGGTAATACAGTAAACATACCCAAATTGCCCTGTTTTATCTGTCCCTGACCCACTCTTTCTCTGTCAAAATATCCTCATTTATATACTCTCTCCTGTCATATTGGATGAATCATCAGTAACTCTCTTTATGTATTACATGGTTACTTTTCAAGAGGTTCTTCACAGTTGTTTAATGTTCTTTCATGAATCATCTCCCCCTTCTTTTTGTATTTGGCAGATGTTCATATTCTTTATCTAAAGAAAAAAATGGTTGAACTCTCTGTTCCATAGCGATTGTCGTTGGCACAATTAGGAATGTCATGAGGTGCCCTCATTTCAATAATTGAGTGGTTCAACTATACAGAACAAAGACATGTAGTTAATATAGAGCATAAGGATTGACTAAGTGTCATGGCAGTTAAAAGTTGTGTGATAAAACGCAAAGTCCACTACAATACCCTTCAAAGGAAGCCAGATTTCTACTTTTTGTGTTAAAACCCAATGATAATTGCTTAGAAATATGTACAAAAGATGCAGATAAAATTACAATAACTATAAAGTTACAATTGTCTTCCTAAATCCTTATTTTAGTGTATTACCACAGCAAATTAGAAGCAAATGAACACTAGAATCAGGAGCAAAGGGAAAACAGAAACACAATGTGTCTTCATGACCCCAATCTTAACTTACCTTATTTCAATTCTTAGATGCAGTCACTGTCAGCTACTTGTACTTTGGTTCCTGCTGGTTATAATAATATGTGTGATAATGTTTCTACTTGTTGACAAACTAATTTCTAACAGTATAGGTATTTACTCCATAGTATGAAAACCAGCCATATTATGTTTCATCCCCAGGTATTTCCTAATTTTATTACTTATAATCATTTTATAGTTGTAATTTTTGCTTTTATTACATTAAATGGTATGAGTATACCTCATTTTAAATTTTTACCAAGTTTAGAAAGGAACTTTTGACCAATATGAAAAACGAGAAAATCATCACACATTCTTACTCTCGCCTCTTCTCCACCTCCCATTTCGGATTACATTCTGTTTGCATCAGTAGTATTTGTAACATTTATATCAGTTCTGTAAAGATAGGTGTTTTTGGCTTGAGTCTGTAAATTGAAAATACATCACTCTTCTTATATAAATGTAATTAACATTACAGCAAAATAATAGAAACGAATGTTTTTAAACAATTATTATTTTGTAGACACCGTTCTAGGTAAAATATTCAATCAAGTTCCATGACGTAGATGCTGTCATTTTACCCATCTCACAAATAGATAAATTGAGTCATAGAGAGGTTACGTAATTTACCTAAAACTGTTTGGCTAACATGTGGTAGAGCTAGGATTTAAATTTACACTATCCTAATCATGGTGTTGATTTAATTAAAAATCTGGTGATCCTTGGTTGCAAGTCAATAAATTATGGTCCAGGTTAACATTAAATGCTGTGTGGGTTTCCTTCATAGTTGGTTAGTTTTACAATTTTTATGCATTTGAAAGTCATAGATATTTAAAATGTTAATTAATTTTAATAGTATAAAAGAATTCAATTCATTTTTAATGCTAGACGTGACCTCAAAGGCCTTTTGGTTCAATGCTTTTTGAATGAGAATGCCAAAGCTCAAATAAATTATATGACTTAGATAAGATATCCACACACTCAGTTGGTTAGTTAGTGGCCAAGGAAATGGGGAAGGTAAGACAAGGGAATACAGCACGAATGCATAAGCAATGCTCTTTTTTCTCATCATACTCAATTTAACCTTGTATACTATGCCATAGATGAGAAAACTAGTTTCTCATATGTTCCCACCTATGTCCTTTTTTTACTCCCATTGCCTACAGAAAAAAATGAAGATAAGGCAGAGTGCGCATAGTGAACTTAAAAGTCCCCTAAATATTCTACAATTTTTAAATTTTTTTATATATTTTTCATAACAAAGGCATTATCCAATTTGTAAATAAGCTAGTTTCCATAAGCTTGTTAGCTGTTAGGGGTATTGGAAAATATGGAGGGATTCGATTTCCTAATAATTGTAAAAATTCTGGTGTATTAACTAGAGTAGAAGCAATTAAGAAGAAACCAATAAACCTATACCTTTATTTATGTATTTTTTTGAGACGGAGTCTCGCTCTGTTGCACAGGCTAGAGCGCAGTGGGCCAACCTTGGCTCACTGCAACCTCCACTTCCCAGGTTCAAGCGATTCTACTGCCTCAGCCTCCTGAGTAGCTGGGACTATAGGCACGAGCCACCATGCCCTGCTAATTTTTGTATTTTTAGTAGTGTCGGGGTTTTACCATGTTGTCCAGGCTGGTCTCGAAATCCTGGCCTCAGGTGATTGACCCGTCTCGGCCTCCCAAAGTGCTGGGAGTATAGGCGGGAGCCACTGCGCCTGGCCAATTTTGAATTACAGT
Organism: Homo sapiens; assembly: GCF_000001405.40. Taxonomy (NCBI): domain Eukaryota; kingdom Metazoa; phylum Chordata; class Mammalia; order Primates; family Hominidae; genus Homo; species Homo sapiens. Next base: position 32,812,334 of record NC_000023.11, on the reverse strand, counting down.
TTTAGAAAAATAACAGCTAAACTACCTTTGTAACTTTTTTTTTGTTTTTTTCGTTATTTTGTTTTTTTGTTTTTGCATAGCATGAGCTCTTAAACAGGAGTCCATTAATAGATTCAAATATTCTAAAACTGTATGTAGACTCTGTTCACAGATATGGAGAGTTTTTTTGTAGGAGTAGAAGTTTCATAGCTCTCAACAGATTCTCAAAGGTGTCTGTGATTCAGAATAGGTGAAGAACCACTTGACTAATGACTTCCAGTGCTGTTGGGATAAATTATAATACGTTAACAGCCAACACCTTATGCAAACTCAGCCAGTTTCTTTCTTTTAAACCTATCTCCCACCACTTGATACTTAGAATCTTCCAATGGAGCCAGGCCTGTGAGGTCTTGATTATCTGAGCATGTTTTGCTTTTTTCCTTCCCTAAGAACTTTAATTCTCTAACGCTCACACAACTTAGAATTCTATTATCAATACATTTTTTTTAATGCAAGTCGAAACGTCTATTTAATCTGTCTTTCAGCCTCAGAAAACTTTCTTGACCGCTTCAGATTTTACAAAACATTTTCTTATTGTCTGTGTTTTTTCACATTTAGAGTTTAATTAATTCATATGGCTTCTTCATTTTTCTTGCTCATTAAATTTAAAATCCTTATAAGACAAGAACTGCCTCTTACACTCCTTTGCATTTTCTCTATTATCAAGTAACATGGTATGTAAGTTTCATGTGCTCATCCATTCTCTCGTGTAGTTGATAAATATTTGTTGAGCCTTTATTTTGTGTCAGGCTAGGTTTCCAGCAGTGAACAAAATAGGCAATAAAAGATTGTACATTCTAGTGGAAGAGAAAGATACACAGAGAAATTTAATTAAATTATATAATACGTTAAATAGTAAGTGTTAATGAGAATAGTATAAAGCAGATAAGGAGAAAGAAAATAAGTATATGTGAGTTTGATTTGAGGCATGCAGTTTTCTTTCATTTATCTATTTAGGAGACTGGTTCTTCCTCAGTCACCCAGGCTGGAGTGCAGTGGTACAATCATGGCTCACTATAGCCACCCAGGCTCAAGTGATTCTCCAACCTCAGCCTCCTGAGTAGCTGGGACCACAGGGGCATGCCAGCACACTTGGCTATTTTTTTTTTTTTTTTTTAATAAGTTGTAGAGACCAGGTCTCACTATGTGGTTCAGGTTGGTCTCTAACTCCTGGCCTCAAGCAAATCCTTCAGCCTCAGCCTCCCAAAGTGCTTGGTTTACAGGTGTGAGCCAAGGTGCCTGGCCAGCATGCAATTTTAGATAGGGCTTGGGCAGGGAAGAACTTATCAGTGATGTGATTTTCGAGTAAAGACCCAATGGAAGTAAAGGAGTGAGCCATGTTTATGTCTTCGAAAAGCGAATTCCAAATCCAAGTGCAGGAAACTATGGATCCTGTTTATGGAATATGAGGAAAGAGACAAGAAATAAAATCAGAGAGTTAATAGGGACCTGGACCCTGTTGGACTTCGTAGATCACATGAAATACGTAATTTGTACTTCCCCTAAAGCAGAGATTTGAGAAGACGGATATGATGAAACATGTTAACAGATCACTCTGGCAACTCTGCTATGCACTAATTAACGCAGGCAAGAGTGAGAGAAGAGTTATGAGGCTATTGTGATAATTCATGCAAGATAAAATGGATTTTGGACTAGAGTGATGGCAGTGAGGATAGTCAGAAGCAGTCAAATTCTGAATACATTTTGAATTAAATGTTGTGTGAGAGTAAAATAGTCATTAAGGATGACTCCAAGGGTTTTTATCTGAGCAACTGCAATTTTAAACACATTGTTCATTATTGAGGAAGGGAGAACAGCAAGAAAAGTAGGTAGGTTTGGGGGAGTATGATGAGGATAAACATCAGAAGCTCAGTTCAGGACACTTGAAGCTTGTGATTACTAAATGGAGATAATGAGTGTTTAGAAGAATCTATAATTTGAAGTTTAGGGAAGAGGTCTGGGTTAGACATATAAAACTGGGCATTACCAGTAAATGGCTGGTATTGAAATCCACGAGACTGGATGAGATAGATAAATTTTTGTTGCTTGGATAAGCTAGCGTAGATTATTTGTCATCTTCAGGATTTTCTTTTTTCCCCACATCTTTATTGCTGTATAATTGACAAATAAACGTTGTATGTATTTAAGGTATACATCCTCAGCATTCTTTTTTGATACAGGGTCTCACTCTGTTGCCCAGGCTAGAGTACAGTGGCACGATTATGGTTCACTGAACCCTCAACCTCCCTGGGCTCAGGTGATCCTCCCACCTCAGCCTTCTGAGTAGTTGGAACTGTAGGCATGTGACACCACACCCAGCTAGTTTTTCTTTCTTTCTTTCTTTCTTTCTTTTTTTTTTTTTTTTTTTTTTTTTTTGGTAGAAACAAGGTTTCACCAAATTGTCTAGGCTGGTCTTGAACTTCTGGGCTCAAAGGATCTGCCCACCTCCGTCTCCCAAATTGTTGAGATTACAGGCATGAGCCACCACACCCAATGAGATCTTCCATTAAAATTATTACTTGTTTAAATAGAAATATTTTAAAGGGTAAATGAATTACACTCAAGACTTAAGGACTATGGGCATTGGTTGTCAATGAAAATTAAGCATGGAAGTAAATCTCATGGAACATTCTAGATTGATTTATATTTGTCTTTGTGTATGTGTGTATGTGTATGTGTTTTAGGCCAGACCTATTTGACTGGAATAGTGTGGTTTGCCAGCAGTCAGCCACACAACGACTGGAACATGCATTCAACATCGCCAGATATCAATTAGGCATAGAGAAACTACTCGATCCTGAAGGTTGGTAAATTTCTGGACTACCACTGCTTTTAGTATGGTAGAGTTTAATGTTTTCATCTGAGACTTGTCATTTCTACACAAAATACAAAACTACATATCTTAAGTTTTCCAATACTGTAGATATATTTAAAATGTTCAGCCTTCTTGCACTATATTATGAATTGTCTTATTTAATTCTAGTTCTCAAAATACCAGTATCTAAAATTGCAGTGAAGACTTTTAGGAAAAAAGCCTTTAAAATGTGTATGCCCTATGGATGGAGCATACTGCATTTGGAGTGCATTGACTCCAAATAATTATAAAAAGTTAATGTTTTGCTTATGCTACCAAGAGATTTGATAGAGTAATCAGCTATAATTAATTAGCTACTCTTGCCAATTTCATTCATATACTCTATAAAAGGCAACATGGTTTACTATTTAAATCAGGAAATCTATTCCTGCCACTACTTCTGTTGTAATTTTTCACTCTGGGGAGATCCTCTGTTGGATGGTTACTCATTTTCTGCTTCTTTAGTTGATAGGCAGAAGTGTATTTATATTTTTATTACATTACACTTCAATAACTTTGACTCTTATCTCTGGTGCTACATAGTCATACCTTCCAGACGTAGAGATTACAGAGATAATAACACTGTGACCTCTACTCTTCTTCTAGCCTATGAAGTACACTTTTTGCCATGCCAATTTTGAAATGGTAGCCTCTGTTCTCAATTCTCAAGGCTTTACTACACTCTAAAATCAGGAGTTGGAAAAGTGAAATCGGTGGGATTGAAGATGATATTTGGGTAGAAGCTGTTCTACAATAGAAGCTGATAATTAAATGCTTTTGGGAATATTAAATCGATTTCATCAATTCCAAAACAGGAGATCTTTCAATATGGATGGTAGGTCCCATCAAGAAAACTCAAAAATGACCCAGAAGACAGCCTTTTGCCAGTGAATTTATTATCAACCAGAATCTAGTACTCAGTTTTGCAGACGCAGAAGCCTGATTGCCTCAGATCATCTAGCAGATCCACATTGGGGTGGGAGGAGTTAACTTTAAGTTTAAAAAGTGATATATAAATAAAAATGGAAATTCAGTAATCTTAAATGAGATATAACAAGCAGCAGAATATTCACATACAATTGACAAATATATTGCTCTTGATAAGCACATGTACTTGGGAAAGCAAATTACAACAAAAATGTTAGTTTGTGAAGTTGGGATCAGATTAAGTTGACTTGAAATGTTTCTTCTCCTTTGGATAATGCATGGCTGAACACTGAATACTGTAACCCCTTTTTATTGCTTCTATACACGATAGTATCCCTCCTACCCCTGTTTTTAGCTCTAAGGGAGAAACTATTAATCCTACGTCCTTAGTTTGCAGTATAGGGGAGGATTACTTTACTATTGACTCGTAGTACACATTTGTATGTTTTCTCTTAGTTCAGTGAGGTAGAAAGGGCAGACATAATGAAAATACGGACTTCAACCTCTGAGGATAAAGAGCTATACTGTATGAATTTGAAAGATAAGGCTGTTAATATGTTTGTTTTTTATTGAATCACATATGGTCAGTTCCCATTATTGGGGTGTATGCTCTAGTTATTCTTGTGTGTGTCCTATCCTTTCATAAAACAGTAAGAGAAGATTTAAAAATAGATATTTTTCTTATTAAGTGACAAAATGGCTTTTGACCTCTAGTGCTCCTTTGAACTTACAGAATAGGAGTGCCTAAATGGGCATCCACATCATAATCAGAAAATAGGTAAATATATACACCTATGTATATATCCACAAAAAATTTAAATGAATAAAAACAATTTTAAAAAGTAGGTTGACGAGCCTGTAATCAGAAAAAGGCAGGTACATGAATAGTGTATTTTATAGCTAAAAGAGCCTGGTATACCTAACTCCATATGCTCTCCTAAGTGGGAAGTATATGTAGAAAGGTACATTGTATATCCTATAAGATCACCATTTTACTGTCTCAAACTTCAACAATTTAAAATCAACAAAATGTAATATGAAATACAGGCTGATTAATGAAGATCCAGCCACTGCTTATGGTCTCGTTTTCCCAATAAAATCTCATATCTGTAAAGCCTTTCTATATATAGACTCTTCCAATTGAAAGAGCATCTTATCGCTTAAACAGGTTTCCTGTTTATTTGCGTAGAGGTGTTTGTAGTATTCTCTGATGGTAGTTTGTATTTCTGTGGGATCAGTGGTGATATCCCCTTTATCATTTTTTATTGTGTCTATTTGATTCTTCTCTATTTTTCTTTATTAGTCTATCTAGCAGTCTATTTTGTTAATCTCTTCAAAAAAAAACACCTCCTGGATTTGTTGATGTTTTTTTTTTTTTTTTTTTTTTTTTTTAAATGTTTCCGTCTCCTTCAGTTCTGCTCTGATCTTAGTTATTTCTTGTCTTCTGCTAGCTTTTGATTTGCTTGCTCTGGCTTCTCTAGTTCTTTCAGTTGTGATGTTAGGGTGTTGATTTTAGATCTTTCCCGCTTTCTCCTGTGGGCATTTAGTGCTGTAAATTTCCCTCTCAACACTGCTTTAGCTGTGTCCCAGAGATTCTGGCACATTGTATCTTTGTTCTCATTGGTTTCAAAGAACTTCTTTATTTCTGTCAGAATTCTGTTATTTACCCAGTAGTTATTCAGAAGCAGATTGTTAGTTTCCATGTAGTTGTATGGTTTTGAGTGAGTTTCTTAATCCTGAGTTCTAATTTGTTTGCACTGTGGTCTGAGAGGTTGGTTGTTATGATTTTCATTCTTTTGCATTTGCTGAGGAGTGTTTTACTTCTAATTATGTGATCAATTTTAGAATAAGTATGATGTGGTGCTGAGAAGAATGTATATTCTGTTGATTTGGGGTGGAGAGTTCTGTAGATGTCTGTGAGGTCCACTTGGTCCAGAGCTGAGTTCAAGTACTGAACATCCTTGTTAATTTTCTGTCTCGTTGATCTAATGTTGGCAGTGGGGTGTTAAAGTCTCCCACTATTATTGTTTGGGAGTCTGTCTCTATGTAGGTCTCTAAGAACTTGCTTTATGAATCTGGGTGCTCCTGTATTGGGTGCATATATATTTAGGATAGTTAGGACTTCTTATTGCATTGATCCCTTTACCATTATGTAATGCCCTTCTTTGTCTTTTTTTGTTTTTTTTAAATCTTTGTTAGTTTAAAGTCTATTTTATCAGAGAATAGAATTGCAACCCCTGCTTTTATTTTTTTTGCTTTCCATTTGCTTGGTAAATATTCCTCTATCCTTTTATTTTGAGCCTATGTGTGTCTTTGCACGTGAGATTGCTCTCCTGACTACAGCACACCATTTGGTCTTGACTCTTCATCCAATTTGCCAGTCTGTGTCTTTTAATTGGGGCATTTAGCCCATTTACATTTAAGGTTAATATTGTTATGTGTAAATTTGATCCTGTCATTATGATGCTAGCTGGTTATTTTGCTTGTTAGTTGATGCAGTTTCTTCATGGTGTCGATGGTGTTTACAATTTGGTATGCTTCTGCAGTGGCTGGTACTGGTTTGTCCTTGCCATATTTAGTGCTTCCTGAAGGAGCTCTTGTAAGACAGGCCTGGTGGTGACAAAATCTCTCAGCATTTGCTCGTCTTTAAAGCATTCTATTTCTCCTTCGCTTATGAAGCTTAGTTTGACTGGCTATGAAATTCTGAGTTAAAAATTATTTTAAGAATGTTGAATATTGGCCCCTACTCTCTTCTGGCTTGTAGGGTTTCTGCAGAAAGATCTGCTGTTAGTCTGATGGGCTTCCCTTTGTGGGTAAGCCGACCTTTCTCTTTGACTGTCCTGAACATTTTTTCCTTCATTTCAACCTTGGTGAATCTGACAATTATGTGTCTTGGGGTTGCTCTTTTTGAGGAGTATTTTTGTGGATGTTCTCTGTATTTCCTAAATTTGAATGGTGGGCTGTCTTGCTAGTTTGGGAAAGTTCGCCGGGATAATATCCTGAAGAATGTTTTCCCAGGTATACTAATCAAACTTAGGTTTTGTCTTTTCACATAGTCCCATATTTCGTGGAGGCTTTGTTCATTCCTTTTCATTCTTTTTTCTCTAATCTTGTCTTCACACTTTATTTCATTAAGTTGATCTTCAATCTCTGATATCTTTTCTTCTGCTGGATCGATTGAGCTATTGATACTTGTGTATGCTTCATGAAGTTGTTGTGCTGTGTTTTTCAGTTCCATCAGGTCATTTATTGTTTTGCCTAAACTGGTTATTGTAGTTAGCAACTCCTCTAACCTTTTTTCAAGGTTCTTAGCTTCCTTCCATTGGGTTAGAACATGCTCCTTTAGCTTGGAGGAGTTTATTACCCACCTTCTGAAGCCTACTTATGTCAATTCGTCATACTCATTCTCCATCCAGTTTTGTTCTCTTGTTTGGTGAGGAGTTGTGATCCTTTGGAGGAGAAGAGGTGTTCTGGGTTTTGGAATTTTCACCCTTTTTGTGCTGGTTTTTCCTCATCTTTGTGGATTTATCTACCTTTGATCTTTGACATTGGTGACCTTCAGATGGGGTTTCTGAGTGGATGTCCTTTTTGTTGATGCTATTCCTTTCTGTTTTAGTTTTCCTTCAAACAGGCCCCTCTGCTGCAGGTTTGCTGGAGTTTACTGGAGGTCCACTCTAGACCCTATTTGCCTGGGTATCACCAGCAGAGACTGCAGAACAGCAAAGATTGCTGCCTGTTCCATCCTCTGGAAGCTTCGTCCCAGAGGGGCACCCACCAGTTGCCAGCCAGAGCTCTCCTGTATGATGTGTCTGTCGACCCCTGCTGGGAGGCATCTCCTAGGCAGGAGGCACGGGGGTCAGGGCCCCACTTGAGAAGGCAATCTGTCCCTTAGCAGAGCTCCAGTGCTGTGCTGGGAGATCTGCTGCTCTCTTCAGAGCCGGCAGGCAAGAACGTTTAGTCTGCTGATGCTGCACCCACAGCTGCCCCTTCCCTCACGTGCTCTGTCTCAGGGAGATGGGAGTTTTATCTGTAAGCCGCTGACTGGGGCTGCTGCCTTTCTTTCAGAGATGCCCTGCCCAGAGAGGAAGAATCTAGAGAGGCAGTCTGGCTACAGTGGCTTTGCTGAGCTACAGTGGGCTCTGCCCAGTTTGAACTTCCCAGCGACTTTGTTTACACTGTGAGGGAAAACCGCCTACTCAAGCCTCAGTAATGGCGGACGCCCCTCCCTCCACCAAGCTGGAGCCTCAGGTCCACTTCAGACTGCTGTGCTGGCAGCGAGAATTACAAGCCAGTGGATCTCAGCTTGCTGGGCTCCGTGGGCGTTGGATCTGCTGAACTTGACCACTTGGCTCCCTGGTTTCAGCCCCCTTTCCAGGGGAGTGAACGGTTCTGTCTCGCTGGCGTTCCAGGCACCACTGGGTATTAGACTCCCACACAATAATAGTGGGAGACTTGAACACACCCCACTGTCAATATTAGACAGATCAACGAGACAGAAAATTAAAAAGGATATTCAGTACTTGAGCTCAGCTCTGGACCAAGCAGACCTAATAGACATCTACAGAACTCTCCACCCCAAATCAACAGAATATACATTCTTCTCAGCACCACATTGCACTTATTCTAAAATTGACGACATAATTGGAAGTAAAATACTCCTCAGCAAATGCAAAAGAATGAAAATCATAACAGCCTCTCAGATCACAGTGCAATCTAATTAGAATGCGGGATTAAGAAACTCAAAAGTGCACAACTACATGGAAGCTGAACAAACCTGCTCCTGGGTGACTACTGGGTAAATAATGAAATTAAGGCAGAAATAAATAAGTTCTTTGAAACCAATGAGAACAAACACACAATGTAGCAGAATCTGTGGGACACAGCTAAAGAAGTGTTTAGAAGAGGGAAATTTATAGCACTAAATGCCCACAGGAGAAAGTGGGAAAGATCTATAATCGACATCCTAACATCACAATTAAATGAACTAGAGCAGCAAGAGCAAACAAATTCAAAAGCTATCAGAAGACAAATAACTAAGAGCAGAACTGAAGGAGATAGAGACACGAAAAACCCTTAAAAAAAAAAAACTCAATTCAGGAGCTGTTTTTTTGAAAAGATTAACAAAATAGATGGCTAGCCAGACTAAAAAAGAAGAAAAGAGAGAAGAATCAAATAGACACAGTAAAAAATGATAAAGGGGATATCACCACTGATCCCACAGAAATACAAACTACCATCAGAGAATACTATAAACATCTCCACGCAAATAAACTAGAAAATCTAGAAGAAATGGAAAAATTCCTGTACATATACACTCTTCCAAGATTAAACCAGGAAGAAGTCAAATCCCTGAATAGAACAATAACAAGTTCTGAAATTGAGGCAGTAATTAATAGCCTACAAACCAAAAAAAGCCCAGGACCAGACAGATTCACAGCCGAATTCTACCAGAGGTACAAAGAGGAGCTAGTACCATTCCTTCTGAAACTATTCCAAACAATAGAAAAATAAGGACTCCTCCCTAACTCATTTTATGAGGCCAACATCATCCTGATACCAAAACCTGGCAGAGACACAATAAAAAAAATTTCAGGTCAATATCCCTGATGAACATCAATGTGAAAGGCTCAATAAAATACTGGCAAACCGAATCCAGCAGCACATCAAAAAGGTTATCCACCATGATCAAGTTGGCTTCATCCCTGGGATGCAAGATTAGTTTAACATACAGAAACCAACAAACGTAATCCATCACATAAACAGAACCAATGACAAAAACCACATGATTATCTCAATAGATGCAGAAAAGGCCTTTGATAAAATTCACTACCCTTCATGCTAAAAATTTTCAATAAACTAGGTATTGATGGAATGTGTCTCAAAATAAGAGCTATTTATGACATACCCACAGCCAATATCATACTGAATGGGCAAAAGCTGGAAGCACTCCCTTTAAAAACTGGCACAAGACAAAAATTCCCTCTCTCATCACTCCTATTCAACATAGTATTGGAAGTTCTGGCCAGCACAATCAGGCAGGAGAAAGAAAGGGTATTCAAATTCTCTGTTTGCAGATGACATGATTGTATATTTAGAAAACCCCATCATCTCAGCCGAAAATCTCCTTAAGCTGATAGGCAGTGTCAACAAAGTCTCAGGATACAAAATCGATGTGGAAAAATAACAAGCATTCCTATACACCGATAATAAACAGCCAAATCATGAGTGAACTCCCATTTACAATTGCTACAAGGAGAATAGAATTCCTAGCAATCCAACTTATAAGGGATGTGAAGGACCTCTTCAAGGAGAACTACAAACCACTGCTCAAGGAAGTAAGAGAGGACGCAAACAAATGAAAAAACATTCCATGCTTATGGATAGGAAGAATCAATATCATGAAAATGGCCATACTGCCCGAAGTAATTTATAGATTCAATGTTACCTCATTAAGCTACAATTCACTTTCTTCACAGAATTAGAAAAAAACTACTTTAAATTTCATGTGGAACTAAAAAAGAGCCTGCATTGCCAAAACCATCCTAAGCAAAAATAACAAAGCTGGAGGCATCATGCTACCTTACTTGAAACTACACTACAAGGCTACAGTAACCAAAACAGCATGATACTGGTACCAGAACAGATACATAGACGAATGGAACAGAACAGAGGCCTCAGAAATAACACCACACATCTACAACCATCTGATCTTTGACAAACCTGCCAAAAACAAGCAATGGGGAAAGCATTCCCTATTTAATAAATGATGATGGGAAAACTGGCTAGCCATATGCAGAAGACTGAAACTGGACCCCTTCCTTACCCCTTATACAAAAATTAACTCAAGATGGATTAAAGACTTAAATGTAATACCTAAAACCATAAAAACCCTAGAAGAAAACCTAGGCAATACCTTTCAGGACATAGGCATGGGCAAAGACTTCATGACTGAAACACCAAAAGCAATGGCAAGAAAAGCCAAAATTGACAAATGAGATCTTACTAAATAGCTCCTGCACAGCAAAAGAAAACTATCATCAGAGTGAACAGGCAGCCTATAGGATGGGAGAAAATTTTTGCAATCTATCTATCTGACAAAGGGCTAATATCCAGAATCTACAAGAAACAAATTTACAGGAAAATAACCCCATCAAAAAGTAGGCAAAGGGTATGAACAGACCCTTCTCAAAGAAGACATTTATGTGGCCAACAAGTATGTGAAAAAAAAGTTCATCATCACTGGTCATTAGAGAAATGAAAATCAAAACCACAATGAGATACCATCTCATGCTAGTTAGAATGGTGATCATCAAAAAGTCAGGAAACAACAGATGCTGGAGAGAATATGGAGAAATAGGAATGATTTTACACTGTTGGGAGTGTAAATTAGTTCAAACATTGTGGAAGACAGTGTGGTGATTGCTCAAGGATCTAGAGCCAGAAATACCATTTGACCAAGCAATCCCATCACTGGGTATATACCCAAAGGATTATAAATTATTCTGTGCTTATTTCAGCACTATTCACAATAGCAAAGACTTGAAACCAACCCAAATGCCCATCAATGATAGACTGGATAAAGAAAATTTGGCACATATACACCATGGAATACTATGCAGCAACAAAAAAGGATGAGTTTCATGTCCTTTGCAGGGATGTGGATGAAGCTGGAAAACATCATTCTCAGCAAACTAACATAGGAACAGAAAATCAAACTCGGCATGTTCTCACTCATAAATCGGAGTTGAACAACCAGAAGACATGGATGCAGTGGAGCATCACACACTGGGGCCTTTTGGGGTGTGTGGGGCTAGGGGAGTGATAGCATTAGGGGAAATACCTAACATAGATGACGGATTGGTACAGCAAACCACCATGGCATGTGTATACCTATGTAACAAACCTGCACGTTCTGCACATGTATCCCAAAACTTAAAGTATAATAATAAAAAGTTTCTTAAAGTTTACTTATGGCTGCAAATAAGATGAGGATTCAGCATAAGTCATATATTTTTAAAATATGTCAATTCTTGCCATTGTGTTAGGGAAACCACCAAGTACACATTTATACATTTTTGCTCAGCATTTTTCAGGAGATAATCTCAATGATGATTCAAAGAAAAAAATAATAACTCATAAGAATTTTTATTTACTGACTGCTTAGTCACAAAAGACAGAACACCATCTCTTGAAGTCTCAGACTTAGAACACTCTCTTCGATAGATTTACCAGCAAAATTCGTGATTCATGCCTGTATAGTAATTGCTTTTGTGATGTTCATATTTTTATTTAACCAGATATTGGTTCTGTAGCTTATGCATGATGTTGGCTACTCTCCAAAGAAATTTCATTTTAAATTAGTTATGCCCCTTAGGAGAATAATGAAACATTTGGGGAGAATTTTATTATTGGGGGATTGAAGCTATATTTGGTTTAAGAAATACCTGCCAAATAATGCTTTGACAATTTTAAACATAAGCTTTGTTGATAGAATTGCTTTATAAAATTAGGAAGTCATTGAAACCTTGTAGGATTTCATATATAGAATTTGATATGCTTTGGCCTTAACTGGTGTTTTGAGGCCTGAGGTTTAGTTTTAAGTGGAATTGCCTTTTAAAATGAGTAGCAGTAGGCATTAGCATAAGCGATTTCAGGAGCTGTTTCTAGTGTGTTTAGATGCTAACATATGCAAAAATAAGTACATCTAGGGTAAACTTAATAAATTATGTATGTTTATGCTCATAGATAATAGGTATATCTCTTTAAAAATATCCTTTTGTGAATCAGACAATTCTCTTCCCGTTATGATTTCTCTGTAAGACAGTACATTCTACATGCGTTGGTCGTGGGTTTCATATACATTGTTTCTCTGAGTTTCAAACAGATTGGTTTGTTTGCCAGTCCAAAAAAAAAAAAAAAATCCTCCCTATATTAAGAGAGTGCTTTGTCAGCTTTCCCCTGTGAATAACAAAGTGAGGATGTTCTCTTTAAAGGAATAAAACAAAAAATCAGGGATAAAAGATTGCGCCTGTTCTAGATGTCTTTTGAATATTAGTGTAGAAAGCCATTTCCATTTAGGATATGAAATATGATATGGAAATGTTCTTACTTATTTACCAGGGTAACTTTAGAACAAAAATGAATAATGACAGTCAAATTTGACCAAAAAAGGAAGGACACTAGGACTCGAGAGAAATTTTTGTATCCTCAAAATGACATTTACAAACCCGTTAGGGTTTGGTTTTAATCCCCTTTATTTTGACTTCCTGAGAATGGTGACACGGATTCTATTTTCTGCTTGGCTAATCCCTGCATCACTCTTGAGTTGTTTTTATAGCCTTCTTTTCCAAGAATTAGCTCTGCCTGTTGGAAAGTTTTACTCCTGGAGTGAATGCTTTCAGACTTGGCTTTGTATGCATGCAGGATTTTAACCTACAAAAATAATCATGGAAAGATACATAGAATTTGCTATAAAAGAGAAGAATATTTTTAAGGCCTCTTATGTTGGGTTTGATATCAATTGGCTGAACAAGGGCTGTTTTAACTTTTTTCCGCCTCTGCTGTAATCATCACATTTTGATACCATAATGGCAAGAAATGTTTATAAGTTTACACAGGTTAAAATTGAGAGGGTTAATTCTCAGGAGGATTAGAGTTAATTTAAATAAATAAATATTTTTGTGAACATAAACACTAATTTTATATCATTTAGATTGATTTTTGTCTAGAACTCATTATAGAGTACCTTGTTTTCAGAAAATCTAATGCGATTGCAATATTATAGGTGTTCCTTCTCTATATACGGTATTTCAACTAGAAATCCTTACTGTAAATATTTCAGACAATTTAGAGTCAAACTCTGCAGTTGAAAATATATTTAAGAAAATATTTAAGAAAATATTTCACTGGCACTTACATGAATGAAAAATGGCCATTGCCTTTTTGATGACAAAGTAATATATACCAAATAGGTATGATACAGATGATTATATTAACATTCAGATATTATTGTAGCAATTTCCTCTTCCCTGATGGGAAATCTTGAAATTGCTCTTCATGACAAAAATTAAGACGTAAATGTTATTTCCCAGTGGCCTAAAAGTTAGAAGAGGCATGAGAGTATTCCAGTGTGTTCTCTTGATGTTATGTGTTGTACATCTTTCTCAGTTCAGATACCATAAAAAAACTGAGTATTTTCTGGGCAGTTGGAACCAGTCACTAATAAATGAAAGCAATTTTTGTTCTCCTTATCCATTTCAGTTGTTTGGATGACAAATAATTGCATGTAACTGTCCCAAATTCACCTACTTAGACAACAGAGACTTGAAAAACATTAAATATGATATTTGTGTGTGCGGGAGCCTGGCTTGAATTTACCCTTTATAACAAATTTTGGTATTTTCTACTAATCTTTCACATTCTTCTATGATTTGTCACCATTTTAACTTTATGGAAAATGGTCAATTTATAATTTCTATCTCCCCTAGGGGCTGATTTGTTAAAGTATGCTTTAGTTAAGTAAGAGTTTCTTACTCAGTTGGGGAATTTAAATAATGAAGTATAATCATGCGATTGAAGATGTGCATTATGGATTAGGTTCTATGCCAAATTTGTTCAGAAACATTTAAATATAATTCTTACCTAGATAACTGAGAATCTCTTTTCAATTAGCTTACCAGGATTATTTTCACAACTTTTTTTTTTTAATTACAGGTGAAATAACAATATCCTTGGCCTATACAGTGACATTAAGTGATTTTTGAATGATTGACAAGACATTAATAAATTAATAATGAGAAATGCAGCCATGAGGTTCTAATGCTAAATAATATGTAATAGACACTTTGTGGATGGTTTTCCTAGTCATATCATCACAATGAGTTCATGAGACTAAAGAAATATATTAAAAACATCTATTGGTATTTGTTAATTTTATTTCAGCTATGAAGGAATACATGAGATATTAGGTTTGATTCAGAAAAGTGTTCTATAGTTGATATCTGTGTTTCTTGTCACAGAATTTTGCCTTGGCAAAAACATTTTGACCATTCTAATGATGGTAAATGAGAATAAAATGGCATAAGTAGTTTAAAATTTTCTATGTGGTTTTAAGTCAGTGATAATATTTGAATGTAATGTATATTTTGCTGATAGTTGGAAAACTTACTTCACTGTCTTCAAAATGGAGTTAACTGTGTTTTATACATAATTATAAGTGATATCACAGGGCTGGGTGTGATGGCTGACACCTGTAATCCCAGCACATTGGGAGGCCAAGGCAGGAGAATTGCTTTAGGCCAGGAGTTCAAGGCTGCGGTGAGCTATGATTGTGCCACTACTCTCAAGCCTAGGCAAAAGAACTGAGGCCCTGTCCCCCCATCCCACAAAAACAAACAAAAAAAGACATCACAGAACCTGCAAATGAATATCCAAAAACCTTAAAGCTGGGCACTGGAAAAATAGATATTAGGTTGGTACATATGTTTTCCAATTAAATAATTTCTATATATAAAATGCATGTGACATTTTACAGCTGGAACATGAAATATAAGATGAAAATATACTATTTTACAACAATATTTGGGTAAAATAATGATGAACTAAAGTCTTTGTTGATGTCATTTAAATCTTATAAGAGGGAAATTTAATTGTCATACAATAGGATTTATTCCTTGCAGAGGGAAACCTGAAGATTTATAGTTGTCTTGTCATTTTATTTTAAAGCAATAAGCTATCCTCTTAGATTTATTCTCTTTTTAGAACTTTTATTTTTATTGATGCATAACGTTTTACATATATGTACATACATGTGATATTTTGTTAAACGCACTGAATGTGTAATGGTCAAGTCAGTGTATTTGGGGTATTCATTACTTTGAGTATTTATCATTTTTATGTTCTGTGAACATTTTGAGTTCTCTCATCTACTTTGAAATGTACATCATATTGTTGCTAACTCTAGTCACCCCTTTCTGCTGTTGAACATTAGAATATATACCTTCCAACTATATATTTGTACCCATTAAATAACCCCTTTTTATATTCCCTTCCTACCCTTCCTAGCCTCTGGTATCTTATTATACTCTCTATTTCCATGAGAACAACTTTTTTTACACCTATATATGAGTAAGAAAATGTAAAATCTATTTATCTTTGCCTCGATTGTCTCACTTAATAACCTGCAGTTTCATTCATGTTGGTGCAGAAAATGTAATTCTTTTTTATGGATGAAGAGTATTCCACTGTATATATGTACCACATTTTCTTTATCCATTTGTTCACTAATGGACACTTAAGTTGCTATTATAAATAGTGCCTCAATAAGCATGCAAGTACAGGTATGCCATGCATATACTTTTCCTGATAGTTAGAAAAGTATATGATTGCTTTCCCTTTACATATATACTTATTAGTGGCATTGCTGACACATACTCTATTTCTATGTTTAGTTTTTTGAGAAATCTTCTCCATACTGTTTTCAATAGTGGCTATACTGACTTATATTCTGAACTACAACAATGTATTAAGAGTTCCCTTTTCGTTGCACCTCGTCAACATCTGTTGTTTTCTTGTCTTTTTAATAATAGCCATTCTAACTGGGGCAAGATGATGGCTCATCATGACTTGATTTGCATTTCCCTAATGATTAGTGATGTTGAGCATTTTTTCATATACCCGTTGGTCATTTGTCTTCTTTTGAGAAATACTTATTATTGTCCTTTGTCCATTTTTAATGTGATTATTTTTTTACTGTTAAATTGTTTGGGATCCTCGTATTTCCTAGATATTAGTCTCTTGTCTGAATAGTTTACAAATCTTTTCTCCCATTCAGCAGGTTGTCTCTTCACTCTGTTGAATCCTTCCTTTGTTTTACAGAAGCTCTTTCATTTTCTACAGTCCCAATTATCTATTTATGTTTTTGTTGCCTGCGCTTTTGAGGTCATAACCATAAAATCTTTGCCTAGACCAAGGTCCTGTCTGTTTTCCCTATGTTTGCTTCATGTAGTTTCAGTTTTAGGTCTTACCTTTAAATCCTTAATCCATCTTGAGCTGAATTTTCTAATATGGTGAGAGACAGGGATCCAGTTTCATACTTCTGCATCTGACAATCCAATTCTCAGCACCATTTGAAGAAGGTGTCCTTCCCCCTAATGCATGTTCTTGGTGCTTTTGTCAAAAACAAGTTGTATGTAAATACATGGATTTAATTCTGAGTTCTCTAATCTATTCCATTGTTCTATATGTCTGTTTTTATTCTAACACCTTGCTGTTTTGTCAAGTAGTGTGATTCATAAGTCTTTGTTCTTTTTGCTCAGGATTGCTTTGGCTATTCAGGCTCTCTGCTGGTCTTTGATCGTACAAATTTTATGATCACTTTTTATTCCATTTCTGTATTCTGATAGGGACTGCATTATTCAATGTAGAATGCTTTGAGTAGAAAGATCATGTTAATAACATTAATTCTTCTGACCGATAAACATGGGATGACTTTCCATTTGTTGGTGTACTCTTCAATTTGTTTTGTCAGTGTTCTGTATTTTATACGGACCTTTCCCTCCTGGGCTAAACTTACTCCTAGGTATTATTTCCAGCCGTTGTAAATAGGTTTGCCTTCTTGATTTCTTTCTCAGCCAGTTCATTATTGGTATATAGAAATGCTACTGAATTGTGTATGTTGATTTTTGTATCCTGCAACTTTACTAAATTTATTTATCAGATCTGAGAGCTTTCTGGTGAGGGTTTAGCTTTTTCTAGCTATAAGTTATTAACAAAGAGCAGTACTTGGACAACGATTTCTTCTATTAGGACGCCTTGTATTTCTTTCTCTTGATTGCTCTGGCTAGGACCTCCAGTACTATGTTGAATGAGTGGTGAAAGTGGGCATCCTTGTCTTGTTCTTTTTTTTGTTTTTGGTTTTTTGTTTTTGAGATGGAGTCTTGCTCTGTTGCCCAGGCTGGAGTACAGTGGCCCAATCTTGGCTCATTGCAAGCTCAGCCTCCAGGGTTCATGCCGTTCTCTTGCCTCAGCCTCCCGAGCAGCTGGGACCACAGGCATCTGCCACCATGCCCGGCTAATTTTTTGTATTTTTAGTAGAGATGGGGTTTCACCGTGTTAGCCAGGATGATCTCGATCTCCTGATCTATTGATCCACCCACCTCTGCCTCCCAAAGTGCTGGGATTACAGGCGTGAGCCACCACGCCTGACCATTCCAGTTTTATAGGGAGAAATTTTTCAGCTTTTCCCCATTCAGTTTGATACTACTTGTAGATTTGTCATATATGGTCTTTATTTTGTTAATTTTTTTTGTATGCCTAGTTTGTTGGAGTTTTTATCTCGAAGGGATGTTAAATTTTATGAAATGTTCTTTTGTGTCTATTGAAAGGATCATGTTTTCTGTTTTTCATTCTGTTTGATGTAATATGTCATATTTATTGATTTGTGTATGATGTATCCTTGTATCATTGGGATAAATTCCACTTGATAATATTACATTTTTTATGTTCTATTGGATTGCTAGCATTTTGTAGAGAATTTCTACATCAGTGTTCATCAGGGATGTTGTCCTGTATTTTTTGTTGCATAATTGTCTGGGTTTGGCATCAGGGTAATGCTGGCTTCATAGAATGAGATAGGGGGAATTCCTTCCTCTTCAATTTTTCTTGGAACACTTACAGGAGAATTGGTAAAGTTTGGTAGAATTCAGCAGTAAAGACATCTGGTCCTGGACTGTCTTCGTTGGGAAATTTTTTAAGATTACTGATTCAAGATCATTACTAATTATAGATCTGTTCAGATTTTCTATTTCTTCTTGATCCACGGTTGGTTGTATGTGTCCGGGAATTTATACATTCCTCTAGATTTTTAGTTTATTATTTAATAGTTGTTCAGTATAGTCTCTGAACTTTTTATTTCTATGGTATCAGTTGTAATGTCTCCGTCTTCATTTATGATTTTGAGTCTTTTTTTTTTCTTGGTTAGTCTAGCAAGTGCTTTATTTTCATCTTTTTAAAAATCAAACTTCTCATTTCATTGATACTTTGTATTTTTTGCTCTCTATTTTCTTGAGTTTTGCTCAATTTTTAGGATTTTCATCCTTCTACTAATTCTGGGTTTGGTTTGTTTTTTTTTCTTTGACTAGCTCCTTGAAGTACTTTGTTAGATTGTTTGAAATATTTCAACATTTTTGATGTGAGCATTTTTGCTATATACATCCCCCTTAGCACTGCTTTTGCCATATCCCGTAGGTGTTATTATATTTTGATATTCATTTGTTTCAATAATTTTTTGAAAACATTTCCTCAATTTTCTTCCTTGACCCAATGGTCATTCAGGAGTATGTTGTTCAATTTCCATGTTTTTGTACAGGTTCCAAAGTTTCTCTTTTTGTTATTTCCTTGTGTTTTAAGAAGATATTAGATATGATTTTGATTTTTTATAAATTTGTTAAGACATATTCTGTCATAACATATGGTCTGTCCTGGAGAATGTTCTGTGTGCTTATGAGAAAAAAATGTGTATGACTGTTGAAGGAATTGTCCTATAAGTGTCTGTTAGGACTATTTGGTCTAAGGAGCAGTTTCAAGCCAATGTTTCTTTGTTAATTTTTTGTCTAAGTGATCTAATGCTGAGAGTGGGGTGTTGAAGTCCTCAGATATTACTGTATTTGCATCTAGCTCTCCCTTTAGATCTAATACTTGCTTTATATATCTGGGAGCTCTCGTGTTGGGTGTATGTATGTTTAGAATTTTTATATACTCTTGCTAAACTTATCCCTTTATCATTATATAATGACCTTATTGTTTGTTTTTACTGTTTTTGACTGAAAGTCTGTTTTATGTAAGCATAGCTGCTGCTTCTCCCCTTTGGCTTCGGTTTGCATAAAATATACTTTTCCATCCCTTTACTTCAAATCTATATGTGTCTTTACAGGTGAAATGAGTTTATTTTAGGCAGAATATTTTTGGGTTATATATTTTTTAATCCATTCAGCCAGTTTATGTCTTTTATGTGGAATGTTTAATCAATTTACATTCAACATTATTACTGATATGTGAGGGCTTATTTCTTTCATTTTATTGATTTATGGTTGTTTTGAATATTTTTTCTTCATTTTTTTCCCTCATTATCATTATAGTGTGATGGTATTCTTTAGTGGTAACATTTGAGTAACTTTTCTTGATTTTTTTTGTGTGTTTGCACTACTAGTTGTTTTTATATTTTTATGTGTTTTCATGATGGTAGTTGTCATTCTTTCACTTCCAGGTATAGGACTCCCTTAAACCTTTCTTGTAAGGCCAGTATCATGGTGATAAATTTCCACAGCTTTCACTCGTCTAGGAACTATTTTATTTCTCCTTGATTTATGAAGGCTACCTTGGCTGGGTAGAGTATCCTTGGCTGGTGGTTGTTTTCTTTCAGCAAGTTTAATATAACATCTCATTCTTCTCTGGCCTGTAAGGTTTCTTCTGAGAAATTCACTGTTAATCTGATGGAGGTTTCTTTATAAGTGACAAGGTGCTTTTCTCTTGCTGTTTTTAGAATTCTCTTTTTGTCTTTGGCTTTTGAGAGTTTGGCTATAATGTGTCATGGACAAGACATTTTTGAATTGTATCCCTTTTTGAGATCTTTCAGCATCCTGTATCTGGATGTCTAAATCTCTTGCTAGACTTGGGAAGATTTCATCTATTATTTTGTTAAATAGGGTTTCTAAACCTTTAGTTTCTCCTTTACCTTCTAGGACATAAAAAATGCAAGCATTTCATGGCTTTATGGTGTTGTATATGTCACATAGGCTTTGCTCATTTTTTTAAAATTTTTTGTTATTTTTTGTTTGAGTAGGTTATTTTAAAAGACCTGTTTTCATGTTCTGAGATTCTTCTGTTTTATCTAGTCTCCTCTTGAGTCTTTGCCTTTGATTCTGAATGTATATAGTAGTATACTTCCTGTATGATTTCTTTGGATGTAAACAGTATGAATGGTGTCTGTAACTTCCTCAGTAGCTTAGGGTGCAGTTGTTAGCAGAAGCTGTGGTGAAGTTTTGCCGGTGACTGGGACACCAAGTGGTCCAGTCTTCAGGCCCCAGTGGTGGCATCAGTTGGTTGAGCGTGCCTGTCCTCAGGCCTCAGAGCTGTGTACATTGGCATTGATGTTAGTGTGTCCAGGCAGGCTAACCCTTTGGCTTATAGGTGGCTTGCTTGGTTGTCAGGAAAAGCATAGGTGGGCTGGGTGGGTACACAGGTTCCCAGCCCAGGGGCAGCAAGCATGGTGCGGGTAATGGCAATAGTGGGAGGGGGGCAACCCTCTGGAATGCAAGCAATCCATGATGGTGTTGGTGGTGGATGCAACAGATTGGGCAAGCCAGTTCCTAGGCCTGCAGATGGTGCATGTAGGTTGACGCCAGCTTTGGTGGTAGTGGAAGCTTGAGTGGGCCCAAATTCAGGCCCCAGGAAGACTAGTCAGATGCCAATGGTGGTAAACTGGGGTGGGAGAGCCCCAGGTCTCTATACAAATTTTTATGTACTGGGGGATTTGGAAGAGCAGAGCTGGGAAGACCTGTCCTCAGGACTCCTGGTGGTGCATGCAACCACTGGTTATTGTAGTCGAGGGGCAAGGTGCTCCCCAGGTCCCTTGTGCAATGCTCAGGTGGAAGGCAGTGTTGGCTACACTGTGGCCCTGCTACTGGAGAGGGTAAGGTTGCTTTCCTTGGGAGCAGCCATAAGCAGTTGCCTGGGTAGCCTGTGCGTCGCTTGTGTCTCAACTCCACAGCAGTTCACAGTGACAGCATTTGCAGGCAGTGGAATTAGTCTTCAGTGTGCATGAAGTTGAGTGGCCACCCCTCTGTTGGGCAGGGGAGGGTTTGCTGCCAGTGGTTCCTGCCTTGGCCCCAGCAGTTGCAGCCATGGGTGGGAAATATCACTGAGACTCCAGGAATGTGGAGATAGGGAAGATTTTTAGTCCTAGGTCAGGACATAGACTGGTGGGGGCTGGGCTCTCAAAACCAGGCCATGTTGCAGCTGCTTAGGACTCTAGAGTTTGTGGAACCCAGCATGGGCTTCTTCCGTGAAGCAATGCCTTTGCACAGTATCTAGACAGCTGTGTGTTGGTTTGGGGGCCCACACGGGTTGAAGGGCTCTCAATTGGCTAGGATTGTAGGAATCTTGTACAAGAATGTGTACCTTTGTGCATCTCTAATTCTCTCCCCATGTTAGGGAGCCTCTCCAGACTCCTAGCCAATCTCAGCTGGATAGAGTGCCTCATTTCCTTCTTTTTCCTTTTAGTGGTTTTCATTGCTTCTCTGTTGAATTTCAGTGTTTTCTCTTAGTTAATGTATTCAAAGTATGATTATCTACTTGGTACTTTGGTTCCTCTCCATGGAAGAGGTGAGTAACAGATCCATCAATTCAGCCATTTTGAAGCCCCAGATTTTTTGTCTTATGGCAATCGTGTGGAGTTAGTGGATCATATGATATCCAGTTGAAAAGTGAGAAAACTGTTACAACTATTAAATTATTAGGAATTTTATATATTATTACAATTTAATAAGGTGGTTGAAACCAGTGTTTTTACTTTTAGGAAATATCCTGTAATATCATTCTTGTGAGATGTTAATATTGCTGAATAAACTTTTGCTTCAAATCAAAGCACATTTTTCCCCTGCAAAGATTTTTCTAATTTATCATCAGTGATATAAACTCAAATTTGCAAGTTCCTTTTGGTAGAAGAGTGCAAATGTTTAAGTAGGGCAGTCATGTTCTAGATAATTTCCATACTTTATCTTATGTCTTGTACACAACAATTCCAGGTAAGTTTATCCTTCTTTTATAAATGGAAAAACTGAGGCTTAGAGAGCTTTATTAAAATCAAGATCACACAGCCAATAGATAACTGAGCTATAATCAAATCCAGGGTTTATCTCTTCTTAAAGTCCGTGTTATTTCTCACAAGACTGTCCAATAAAATCGGTTGGGGAAGCTTTATGGCAACACTGGGATTGAAACTAGTATTTTATTTCACTGAGGACGGGCTGTGACATCAGCAATTTTTAGAAGCTCAGTAAGTGAGAGTATCCTGCAGCTAAGATAGAAACAACTACAATGGAACAATTGTTTCTGTGAGATATGCCCTTTTATAGGATAAGATCCAGAATCTGTTGTCCCAGCATTTGTTTAGACTTCTAGCATTTTCTTCCTTAAAAAATGACTAAGCCTGCTGTTCACATCTTCAATTACTGGAGTACTGCTTATTGCTAACAGTTCTGTTAATGAGAAATTGTTCATCCACAGACAAAGTAAAAATAGACTAGCTGTCACATAAGACTGGCCATCAAAACATTCTCTTTAGGATTAAGAAACTTGCCTTATCTCCTGTCTGCACAGTTGTCTCTCTTCATTCCTTCTTCTATTTATTGCTTCACGGACATGTTTGTGATAGAATGGTACTCTGACTCAAACAGTTTCCAGCAAGGGTTGCCCAGGTGAGAGGAGCTGTTTGCAGAGGTGATCCCTGACTCTTTGTTCTTTAATTTATTTCTTCTTTTGCCTGCCTCTCTCATCTTGTTACTAATTGACATCACTGTGTTCTGCTATCTGAGGTTTGTTGATGCCTTTTGCAGCCAATAAAAATGTCTTTCATTGGCAGAGCTGATAAAGAACTAGAAGAATTTTTAATAATAACTAAGGGCTAATAAGGGAAAACAATTAAAATGATGGTAAAATAATAGTTTTCAAATTAGAAGTCTGATCCCATAAATCCACTTGAAATAAGCAAATGGCTTAATT
Organism: Homo sapiens; assembly: GCF_000001405.40. Lineage (NCBI taxonomy): Eukaryota > Metazoa > Chordata > Mammalia > Primates > Hominidae > Homo > Homo sapiens. The sequence continues at coordinate 32,788,735 of NC_000023.11, read as the reverse complement.
TTATGATCTCTGATATTAATGCCATAAATAGGTTGAATTTATTTACCATTTATCCAGGGTTAGTTTTGCTAAACAGTTTGTATTTTAGCCAGATATGCAACTTTTACTGACAGGACATAATGAACTTTGGAGCCTGCACTGTTAGTGTAGTTGTAAGGAGATAAAATTGGCAATTATACTCACAGATGGAATAGAATTTAATCTATGACATTTACTTAGCTGTACAGAAGGATACAAGGCAGGAGATACACTGTCATAGAATCTTTGTATCATTGGATGGCCCAGAAGCAACCAACATACAGATTTCCACATGCCTCTCACCCAAATGTGCTCCATATAGCTGCTAGGACAACGGCCAAAATCAGTGTGGTTTACTTGACATGAAGAAATTGCAGCATTAATTTCCCACCAATATTTAATACCATTGTTGTCACATAGGACAAAAGACTATATATTGCCTCTCTGCCCCACTCCCCAGTTAATTTAATAGTAGTCCTACCTAGCAAACAAGAGTGACAAGAAATTCTACTATTATCTTAACTCTTAATCCTAAGAAAATAAGTTTCTATGTTCATTTTCCTAGGCAGCATCAGATTAACCTAGGGTTGATTTAACTTTTTCTACACAGAGCCAACTAGTTTTGGGTTAAAATCTGATTTTTGCCTTTATTAGTTTTAGGCCACTGGAAAATTATTGAGGCTCAGTATTGCTCACGTGTAAAGTAAAAATATTTACCTCCCACTGCTACTTCAAGGAGTAAGTAAAACCTGTATGTATTTGGCCCGTAATATGAGCCCAGAAACAGTAGCTAAAGTTATGTCAAATAACTGGAATGTTGTAAAAATTAAATGGTCCCTTTATACTCCTGTAGGGAAAACTGATCTTTCCAGTTATTTTGCCTGCCTCTAGAATAAATGCTGACTCTCCCCAAATTAAATACAGGAGTCCTCCCTTATTCATTACAGTTTCTGCTACCCATGGTCAACCGTGGTCCTTAAATTGATGAGTACAGTACAATTAGATGATGGTGGGGAGGGTGGGCAGGGAGAGGTGAGAGTCCACATTCACGTAACTTTTATTACTGCATATTGCTATAATTGTTCTATTAGTTATTAATCTTTTTCTGTGCCTAATTTATAAGTTAAATTTTATCATAGGTATGTATATGTATGGGAAAAACAGTATATATAGGGCCTATTTGTGGTTTCAGACATCTGCTGTAGGTCTTGGAACATATCCCCCGTGGAAAAGGGGGATCTACTGTCATTTCCCATTTGAAATCTTGCTGGTCTTCCTGTGACCTTCCCACTCATTCTGGTTTTCTGGTCTGAGGAATACTGCTGGCTCACAGCTGGTGTACTGGGTGGTAATCTTTGATATCCTTGAGCTCCAGAGTCTAATCTAGTTTTCATAAAAGATTTATACTATATCTTAAATTCCTCAGAGTGGTTCTCTCTCTCTTTCTCTCTCTCTCTCTCTCTCTCTCTCACACACACACACACACACACACACACACACACACTTGACAGAGAGATTGATTCACAGTTGTCATGGATACATGGTAGATTTCTAGCAAGTCTCCTGAAGGCTGGTTCATGATAGTACCTTATAATTGTCATAGTATTTGTAAGACATTAGTTAGCACACTTGCAAAAGTATAACTAGGTTTTCTCTTGTAGTCATTACGTCATATGACATCGTAAAAGTGGTTGAATTGGTTCCCAGACTCTCAGAAAAACTCAACTTCTGAAGCTGGGAGTAATACATACATAGTAATATTGATGTAATCTGGTGTGATATTTATTAAACATTAAGTGCTGGGCACATTGCTTGATATTGTATAATTTCGTTTTATTTCTGCAAAAACTCTAGGAGGTAGAGACTATTATTTTGGTCATTTGCAACTGAAGAGTTTATGTAAATTGCCCACATCACTCAGCTAGTGAGTTGGAGTTAAGATTCCCTACTTGTAACTACTACAGAATATAATCTTATGGCAGAATATTCCTCTCTTCTTCCATGAATATTTTCTTTGCATTAACTAAAAGGTTACTCATTTTATTACAGGGCTAATTGGGTTTGTTTTTAATTGGATGCACATCCATCAGTTGATTCCAAATGTTTTGAAAATAAATGGAAAAGTTTTATAAACTAGAGCCAGAATAAGAGGGATACTGAATTCTTTTTACTATGATGTTTCCTTGAGAGAATCATTAAATAATTAAAGTAGAAGGATGTTTACAAATCTTGCAAGTATGACATTCTATCCAAGCCACACTAAAGTTATCAAAGGGAGACACTCACCAGTTATGAAAATATTCCCCTCTACTCTTTCTCAGTTAACTCTAAAATTAGATGGCAAAGGCATCAAAACATCTCACTATCTCAAATATTTCCTCAGTGAGGTCGTGATGTGAACATCTCTTATCTAGATTGAAATCCCACCTTGAGTCATATGTGGATTAAAAAAAAAAGCTATTATCTGAGAAAGTCTAAATAAAAAGATACATTTTACCTAGGCTTTAATATCTAAGTTTTTCTGTATAGAATCAGTTGGGCAAGTGAGTCTCTTGGAAAAGTGATTTGAAAACTGTTTTTATTAATAATTGGAATACACACACACACACACACACACACACACACACACACTCTTATTCCTCCTCAAGAGGCAAGAGTACATGGTGAAGCCCTTAATAAATTCACCTCACTGTAGTTAAACAGCAGACTATGATATTGTTGTAGTTGTTAATCAAAGGGACTCTGAAAAGAGACAGCCAGAAGTGGGGAAAAAACTAGTATAGAAAAATAACGATTGGGCATTTGAGTATTTGGAAAAAACCTGGTGAAGTAACTAGGTTTTAAAAGACTGAAGAGAAAGACAAATTTCACCCATTGCAAAATATAACAACGATATAAAAATGAGACATAAGCTCCTGGATAAAAATAAATAATGTATTTTTTTCTCTCTATTATATCTCGAATTTTGCTTTCACCAACAAACTGCATGTGAAATACGAAAAAAGTTAAAAAATATGGAATATTAAGGGACTATAAGATGAGAAATTTTTAAATTGTTATAACCTAAGTAAAACTGCTAAAGCTAGTTGTAGCGAGATCTGTCTTACATAAATTTTCCATTAAATGATAATATCTTTGCATTCATCATAAACAGAAATGTACATTTTAAGCAAAATCATTATAATAGAAATGATAATACTCCTTACCTAGCCTTCTTCACGTTAATCTTAACATAGACTAGTGAAGAACATAGCAAAGGTAGTGCTTGAAGGAATGTTCTTATTGAAAGAAATCTTTCCTCAGATTGATCAAGAGGCATTGAATAATCATAATAATTCAAACTTTAATCTTGCAGATGGAATGAAAATGTTTAAAATTAGAATTATTGTCAGAGCTTAAATATTGTTACTTACACAAGCCAAATACATTAATATTATGAGCACTATTGTTTTAGCTAATGTGTCTTTTACTCTGCAGAGTACATATAGACTAGTCTAAAAGGTTTTTTTTTTTTAATGCTTTTATAGAGCACGAGCATTTGTGCAGGTGGCTGAGTAGACTAAGATTTTTTCCAATGGGTTGATTTGACCACATCATTAATAAAGTAGAAATTCTGGAGCCCCTACTTTTTATTCTTAGTCTGACATTGTAAATTCTTTCAGATGCTACATAAGCATTTTAAAGTTATGTGCCCCAGGCTTACTTTGTTCAGTAGAAATGCATGTTAATTCATCAAATGTCTATTGATAACTTTACATAAGGAATAGTGCTATATACTCCAAGTGTGTCAGGAAGTAAAAGATATACAGTCTGCCAAGGTATTGAAAATTGCATATAGGCCAACAAACAATATATAGGTAACTGTTATATAAGACAGAATGTGAACTAATTCAGAGAATATTTTTTAAAGTACAGAGCATGTTTTTCATTCTAATAAATGTACAAATATTTATGTCAAATGAAAATGTGGCTGCATCATAATTCTTATATGGGATTTTAAATATACCAAAATCCACGGATCCATACAGTAGTTCTTACTCTGCTTCCCTAATTTTATTAGTTGGACATAAATGCATAAATCGATAAGATGATTTTGGAGCGGGAACCTAACTTTTTCTATAGTTCCTTGGAAGTTAATTGATTTCTTAAGTGATAAAGTCCACCACTATTTTGAGTAAGGTTTAGTTAATGATTTCTGTTTAACATGTGTGATTTCTAATAAAAAGTTCTGGATTTATTTTCTCTTGTTGAAAGTTGTTCATTAGAACTGACACCTGAGCTAACATAAGCAAAAGTCATTGTAAGTCCACACGTTTGCACAGATGGGTGTCCCCCCACCATCCTTAGGTTTGAGCAATGGATTTTTACAAGTGAAACTCAGTGCAATTAATCACCTCCAACATGAGAAAATGCTCTTTAAACTATTTTAAGTCAACATTTACAAGAGAAATTGGCCTATAATACACCTCGGGTTCTTAACCTTTTTGAGAGCTATAGAAACGCTGCTTCTCTATAAAGGTAACATATATTGCCAATAAAATACATAAGGGAGGACATCTACTTATAAAACTCAGAAAACGATTTAATAGGAACAGTTGTTTTATTAGCCTTCTGCTCTTTAATGGCTGAGATCATCCTGGGGCTATTTAAAAATGATTTAATTTGTCCTCTAAACACACAGATGAGTTCCAGGTGTGTATTTCCCCCCCCCACCCCCGCTCCATGAATCAACCATGTCTGCACTGACATTAATAGCTTGGATCGGGAAATCTCTGTAATAATAAATCTATCTTTTAAGTTGGTCATTTAAGCAGCTTTAAGTATGAAAAAAGTGAAGTATTAGAACTATTTCAATCCATGATGCCTTATAGATTATACTTTAAGAATACGACTGTGCCTCACTATCTGAGAACTGGTTCTAGGAACTCCAGATACTAAAATCTGTGGATGCTTAAGTTCCTTATATAAATGATGTCATATTTGCATATAACCTATGCACATCCTCCTGTTTACATTAAATTATCTCTAGATTACTTATAATACCTAATACAATATAAATAGTACGTAAATAGTTGTTACATTTTATTCTTTGTGTTTAATTTCTAGGTTCAGGGTTACACATGCATTTTTGTTATATAGATAAATTATGTGTTACAGGGGCTCTGAGTACAGATTACTTTGTCACCCAGGTAATAAGCATAGTACCCAACAGGGAGATTTCTATCCTGTTAATTTTTATTGTATTTCCTGAATATTTTTTTATTTGGGAAACAATTTATTTTTTTTGGAAATTTTTGTGGGTACATACTAGGGGTGTGTGTGTATATATATGGTATATATGTGTATATATATGTGTGTATATATATACCATATATGTGTATATATATGTGTGTATATATATACCATATATGTGTACATATATGTGTGTATATATGGTGTATATATACCATATATGTGTATATACGTATATACACATATGTGTATATACGTATACACGTATATACACATATGTGTATATGTATACATATATGGTATATATGTGTGTATATGCCATATATCTATATATATGGTATATATATATACATATATGTATATACATATGGTGTGTGTGTATATATACACCATATATGTATATGTGTGTGTATATATACACCATATATGTATATGTGTGTGTATATATATAAACACACCATATATGTATATATACGTGTGTGTGTATATATACACACACCATATAGGTATATATATGTGTGTGTGTATGTGTGTGTGTATATAATTTTTGTGGGTACATGGGGTGTTTGTGTATATATGATATATATGTGTATATGTATATATATACGTGTGTGTGTATATATATATGGTACGTGAGATGTTTTGATAGAGGCATACAATATGGAATAAGCACGTCATGAGAATAGCATGTCACCTCAAGCATTTATCCTTTGAGTTATAAACTAATTACACTCTTGAAGTTATTTTCAAATGCACAATTATTGACTATATTCACCCTATTGTATCAAATCAGAGGTTATTTGAATTTGCAGATACAGAACCCGCAGATACGGAGGGCCCACTGTATATCACTAAATCATTCATACCTCTCCACCTGTACAACCACCACCATAGTTCAAGTTATTCTCATCTTTTTCTGTGACTGCAGGAAGAACTTGACAATGACTGGCCCTATTTTCTTTCTGGATTTAACTTAATTCTCTTTTACACACAATCATCTAGCATGATATTTACATAGTTTAAGGCCTTAGCACTTGCTGTTCCAACTCCCTGGGATGTTGTTCTTCCACTCTGCATTTCACAGCTGAACCCCAGAAAGATTATGTCCTTTGTTGATTTAACCCTTCTCAGAATAGCATGTGTCTCTGTTACTGCATACATATTGAAACTATTCTTAGTTTTTTGTTTTGTTTTGTGCTTATGTTATCACATACTATACACACCAAGTCTGTAGGCTGTTTTTTTGATATTCTAGTGATTTTTAATGATAATATTTAATACATATATGAGAAAAGAACCTTTTTAATGTTAAGGGAGAGCATGATCTGTGAAATTATCTGTCTTTAATTTATCTTTGGAAATGAACATTTTTCAAAGTTTTCATTAGATTGTATTCAAAATTGGTTTTTATTCTAAAAAATTACCATGTTACTATTTCATATTTAAATGCAACTAGGATTAGACAAGCAACAATAATAATTTTTTTCTTACCTGGGAGCCTACATGAATACTGAGTGTATTAAGATATCAACTGAGATATCTTGCTATCTTAGTTTGAGGAGAATACCATATATTTGGGGAAATAGAGAGAAAGTGGAGTGAACATGTAATTTATGTCTCTTAAAGGTGACTCAAATGTTCTTTATCTGTATCTTAAAATCTTTAGTGAGCATTCTTCCTTATGTTTAGGCTAGTTTTCTCTCTGAGATAGGTAAAGTAAGCTACTTTGCCTTAGTATGCGGATGTATGTGTGTGCACGTACTCATGTGCCCATCTTGTCAATACATGGAGAGATGGAATAAGACGAATGTAGTATGTCTGGGGTAGAAATTTGGTTGCAGGAGAGAGGCTGACACATTCACAAGCAGCAGCAAGGGAAGAGGGATTACTGGAGTAGAGGCAAGGGAGAATTTATTTACTTAATTACATAATACTTATTTAGAATCTACAGTGTTCCCGGTATATTGAGTTATATATGAGAATGCAAGAAAATGACATCACTAGTTTAAAGATACAATGTCTTCTGTTTTTCAAATGTTTCGTTGATTTTGTTTTATTCAATACTGTTTAGTACAATATTAACAGAGTAAACAACAGTATGAGTCCTTCTCATGTTTCACTTTGATTGTATCATTGATATTTAATCCAACGTAAAATTCCTAACCTTCAAAAAATAATTCTCACTTAATGTTCCAGTGGAGTTTGTTCCCACCATAGTACTGCTGGCCTATCACAATGCTGTAGGTAGTTGTAGACTTGTTCAGTCCTGTTATTGGTGGTGACTTCCTCATGTGCTGGGACCTTTATTATTCACAGCTGAATTCCCAGAGCATAAGAGTGCCTTTTTTTTTTTTTTTTTTCTTTTTTTGAGACAGAGGCTCGCTCCGTCGCCCAGGCTGGAGTGCAGTGGCGCGATCTCGGCTCACTGCAAGCTCCGCCTCCCGGGTTCACGCTATTCTCCTGCCTCAGCCTCCCGAGTAGCTGGGACTACAGGCGCCTGCCACCATGCCCGGCTAATTTTTTTATTTTTTATTTTTTTTTATTTTTTTTTTATTTTTAGTAGAGACGGGGTTTCACTGTGTTAGCCAGGATGGTCTCGATCTCCTGACCTCGTGATCTGCCCGCCTCGGCCTCTGAAAGTGCGAGTGCCTGTTTTTTAATGTACAACAAATGTTTCTTGAAGACACGGCTTTTACATTAGCATATTACATGAAAGTGTGAGGGTCATTAATATGTGTGAAGACCAGTTAGGATTTTAAAGTTCTGATCAGATACGTTATCAAGCTGATAGATTAAATTAACTGATTAATCCAAGGAATTAACATTAACAAGCAATGAAATGGTCAGTATCCAAGTATTGAAGTTGTATTTGGGTTTTACCTAATATTTTCCTTGATCTTACTGGCTACTTTGTTGTCTAAGCTGAAGAAAGGCCTTCCTGATTACCTTTATTTAAATAAAATAACAGTGGTGAAGGTAATTTCAAAAAATATTAACTATGCTAAAACATATACCTGTGGTTTGATATACAAGAAGCTGCAGAAGGTTCTCAGAAATATGTAAAACAATTTATTCCCAAGGTAATTGATAATTGTATGCATTCTTACAGAATAAGCTGTTATAAAATTTCAAACTTTATCTAAAACTCAATAGCACGTCTCATAAAATGAACTAAATAGTTCTGTCGGGCATAAGAATGTCGGCTTCTAGTATAGAATTCCATGTATGGTACAAAAGTTGTAGAGAGATTGTGTAATTGCTACATTCATCGTATAATTTTAGAAAAATCCTCTTGGTAATTTATATGGTAAAAATTGACTGTTACAATTAGAAACATAAGGCATATTTTGTCTCAATGGATTTTATTGAGTATGCTAAAGCAATACACACTACATATCGGGTAAGTGTGTGTACTATGAGGGGAGAAGTATATGGATACACAGATCATGATTTCTATGTAAAATTTATATCAGGCTTGTATGGGAGAAGATACATGACAAGTTAAAATATAAAATGACCACATAATTAAAGTATAATTTAAATTGGGATTATTATAATTTAAATATTTTCCCAAGAATATCTTGAATAGTAATCTTTAAAATTTTTCTTTTTTTGATTTTTTTATTATACTTTTAGGGTACATGTGCATAACGTGCAGGTTTGTTACATATGTATACATGTGCCATGTTGGTGTGCTGCACCCATTAGCTCGTCATTTAACATTAGGTATATCTCCTAATGCTATCCCTCCCCCATACCCCCACCCCACCCCACCCCACCCCACCACAGGCCGTATGCAGCCATAAAAAAGGATGAGTTCATGTCCTTTGTAGGGACATGGATGAAGCTGGAAACCATCATTCTCAGCAAACTATCGCAAGGATAAAAAACCAAACACCGCATGTTCTCACTCATAGGTGGGAATTGAACAATGAGAACACATGGACACAGGAAGGGGGAACATCTGTAAAATCTAAAAATAATTTAGTTTCAAAAGATAACTTTAAAAATGTCTAAATGCTAGTGGTAAAAATTAAATATGTAGATGATTTATTAAACATTTTAAAAACCTCATGAAAAAGGGAATGTGCGACAAAAGACTAATTTGCAGCTATCAAAAAATAGGAACAGAAAAAATGTGCTAGCATATTAATATAAATATTAGGTGTCATTGTGTGTCCGAGCAACATTGTTATCAGTTCCCATCTAGTAATGACTCTCTGTGTGTGTGCAGTAAAATCAATAATAAAGGGGATGAATAGGACGACTTTCATTTGAAACTAAATCTCTTGGAATTGTGTGAGCTACTGTGCCACCTATCAGTGGAATGATGAAATAATTCATACATGAACAATTAGCTTAAATAATCAGCTTAATTTAGTCAAATTTATTACAGGCACCAGTTTACAAAAATAATTGGTGCCCAAGATATTTAATACTTGGGAATACCAGAATTAGAGTATATCGGAGACAAAGTGAAATCTGGATACTCAATATGATACGACTTTTTTGTTTAAACCTGCATATTTAAACTCTCCTTTGGTAGTTGGATGCTGGCTCCCCAAGGATACTCATGTCGAAATCCCTAGAACCTGTGAGTATAGTACATGATACATGACACAGGGGAATTAAGGTTGTTAATTAGCTGATCTTAAAATAGGGAGGGAGATTAACCTGGATTACCTGAGTGCACACTATGTAGTCACCGGAATGCTTAAAAATGAAAGAGGCACAAGAGTAGGCCTGAGTGATATAATTTGAGAAAGACTATACCTACTGTTGTTCGCTTTGAAGAATGGAGGAAGACCAGGGGTTAAGGAATATTGGAGGTCTATAAAAGCTAGAAAAGGGAAAGAAACATGATCTCTTCTAGAATTTCCAGAAAGGAACAAAGCCCTGCTGTTGCTTGAGTTTAGTCTAATAAGACTCATGTCAGATGTCTAACCTACTCAGCTGTAAGATAAAACATTTGTCTTGTTTTAAGCCATTAAGATTTTGGGAATATGTTACAACAGTAATTGAATACTACTGCACTCTCTGTAGTTTTTTTTCTGTTCAGTTTCTTAGCTCTGGTCTGTTGTACTTGGCTGTTCAGCTTTGGGGCCTGACAAACTGCCCTCAATGGTAGAAGTCCAGCAGTGCTCATTTCTATAGGGTTCGGGACTTGAATCACAAAAGGCACGAAGGGAAAAACTTTTTCCCTCACCCTAGACGAAAGTCCATATTTTTTTTTTTTTTTTTTGCGAGGATCTGACATTTTAAAAGATGTTTAGCAGTAGAAATCCCTACTGTTTTCAGGGAATATTATCCTCTACGCTTCTTACCTGGCACAGTCATGGGACAATTACATCAACACACAATACTTTGTCCTATATATTCTGTATTATTTTTAATTAACAGCATCAACTGACAAATCTATGTTGAACCATATGAAGCCCAGGTCTCACCTACAGTCTCTTTTCCAGTAATATTCAGACATATATCAGTTTTTTAGAATTCTTGCTGGGATTGCTTCTTGTATGGTTAAATGAATGTGCTCATGTGCATGGGTATATAATTATGTGCATGCACACATGGACGTGCGCACACTGCTGGACATCCAAAATTGAGCAGCGATGTGCACAGGGCATAAGAATGTATACTTGATACTTAAAAGGATTTCTAAAATTTTTACACAGTAACTGTTGCCATCCTTAAGATAGCTCTTTCCTTAAGTATGCAAAAACAGTTGGGCTGTTTCAAATGCTTATGGAAGCATCTGAAATTTCCTTGCAGAAGAATGTCTTTGTTTTAAATTTACATGTCTAAATACCAATTGGAAAGGTAAAGATTTGCTCAATAGAAAGGAGTAATCTGTTAAAAGTTTAAAAAATACCGATTTCTTTTGGAAAACTGCGAAGTCCTGAATTCAGAGGTCTTATTCTTGTTTATTCTAATCACCCCATCTGAAGGAAGCATAACTTTCCCCAATGACTGAAATAATAACAGTAAGAATGAGAATACATGGAAAATGATATTAAATTCTTACCATAAACAATCTTAAAATTTTTGCTTTGAGGTTAAGTTTTCTGAGAAATTCCATACTTGCTTAAAATATGTTTTTACAAAGTAATAACTGCCATTATTATTTACAACACATTAAGTACTATCCTAGTTATTTCAATTGCATCCTCCCATTAATTTCCTAGCTTGGTAGGATTCCCCCCCCAACCAGAAACCAAACTTAAAAACTAGGAACTTCCAGTCCAGTCTGTATCCCTAGATGTAAGATTCTGACCTGGATAAATTGATAATGCTGCGAAACAAAGTGACCTAGAAATCCAGCTAATCTTATCAGTGCTCGTTTTTAATTGAGAAAATCTAATTACTCAGATAATTGTGGAGCGTGTTGCATACTCTTAATTACTGTAAAAACAAAAAAAAAAGACAAATTTATGCTGCTATATAGGCCTCACGCCCTATAAAACTGGATATACTTTTTTATGACCCATTTAGCTTCATTCATTTTATCAGTGCATAGAATGCAGTATGTTTTCCTTATTTCATACTATTTTGTTTTACTTTTTGTAACCATAAAACATCAGCTTTCATGCACAAGCATATTTTTGGTTGGATGAGTTTGTTTAATTAATTAAGCATTTGAGAACATCAGTGGTTTAGTTTTGAGGTGTCACAAATAGAAAAACTTAGGGAAAATTTCTCATTGTATTGGAAACAATTTATTCTGCATTAATAAGTTGATATAATTTGGCTCTGTGTCCCCTACCCAAGTCTCATCTCAAATTGTAATCCCCACGTGTAGAGGGAGGGTCCTGGTGGGAGGTGATTGGATCAGGGAGGCGGTTGTCCCCATGCTCTTCTTGTGATAGTGTGTGAATGCTCATGTGATCTGATGGTTTAAAAGTATTTGACAGCCTTCCCCCCGACCCCACTGCCCTGTGAAGAAGGTACTTGCTTCCCCTTCACCTTCCACCATGATTGTAAGTTTCCTGGGGGCCTCCCCACCCATGTAGAACTGTGAGTCTATTAATCCTCTTTTACTTATAAATTACCCAACCACAGGTACTCTTTATAACAGTGTGAAAACAGACTAAAACAGAAAATTGGTGCCCAGATAGTGGGGCATTGCTATAAATATAGCAATTATAGAAGTGACTTTGGAACTGGGTAACTGGCAGAGGTTGGAACAATTTGGGGGGGGGGTCAGAAGAAGACAGAAAGATGAGGGAGAGTTTGGAATTTCCCAGAGACTTGTTGAATGGCTTTGACCACAATGTTGATAGTGATACGGACAATGAAGTCCAGGCTGAGATAGTCTCAGATGGAGATGAGGAACTTGTTGGGAACTGGAGTAAAAGTGACTCTTGCTATGCTTTAGCAAAGAGATTGGTGGCATTTTGCCCCTTCCCTAGACATCTGTGGAACTTTGAACTTGAGAGATGATTTAGGGTATCTGGCAGAAATCTGTAAGCAGCAAGGCATTCAAGATGTGACTTGACTTTTTCTGAAAACATACGGTTATATGCGTTCACAGAGAGATTATCTGAAATGGGAACTTTTCTTTAAAAGGAAAGCAGAGCATAAAAGTTTGGAAAATTTGCAGCCTGTCCATGCGGCAGAAAAGAAAAACCCATTTTCTAGGGAGTAAGTCAAGCCTGCTGCAGAAATTTGCATAAGTAAAGAGAAGCAGAATGTTAGTAGCCAAGACAATGGGGAAAACGTCTTCAGGGTATGTCAGAGACCTTTGTGCCAGCCCCTTCCATCACAGGCCCAGAGGCCTAGAAGGGAAAAATGGTTTGGTGGGCCAGGCCCAAGGCCCCACTGCTCTGTGCAGCCTTGGGACCTGGCTTCCTGTGTCCTAGCTGCTTCAGCTCCAGCCTTGGCTAAAAGGGGCCAAGGTACATCTTGCACCATTGCTTCAGAGGGTGCAAGCCCCAAGCCTTGGCAGCTTCCATGTGGTGTTCTGCCTACGGCTGTGCAGAAGGCAAGAAATGAGGTTTGGGAACCTCTGCCTAGATGTCTAGAGGATGTATGGAAACACCTGGATGTTCAGGTAGAAGTCTGCTGCAGGGGCGGAGTCCTCATGGAGAACCTCTACTAGGGCAATGCAGGGGGGAAATGTGGGGTTGGAGCCCTTCCCCCCACCACAGAGTCCTCACTGGGGCACTGCCTAGTGGAGCCATGAGAAGAGGCCCACCATCTAGACCCCAGAATGGTAGATCCACTGACAACTTGCACCATGCACTTAGAAAAGCTGCAGGCACTGTGAAAGCCATGGGGGCTGTGCTCTGCAGAGCCACAGGCGTGGAGCTGTCCAAGGTCATGGGAGCCCACCCCTTGCATCAGCCTGCCCTGGATATGAGACATGGAGTCAAGGCAGATTTGGGAGCTTTAAGATTTAACGATTGCCTGGCTGCATTTCAAACTTGCGTGGGACCTGTGTCTACTTTGCTTTGACCAGTTTCCCCCATTTAGAATGGAAACATTTACCCAATACTTATACCTGCATTGTACCTTGGAAGTAACTAGCTTGCTTTTGGTTTTACAGGCTTGTAGGCAGAGAGAACTTGCCTTGTCTCAGATGAAACTTTGGACTTGGAATTTTGACTTAATGCCGAAATGAGTTAAGACTTTGCGAGACTGTTGGGAAGGCATGACTGTGTTTTGAAATGTGATGACATGAGGCTTGGGAGGGGCCGGGAGCAGAATGATATGGTTTGGCTATGTGTACCCACCCAAATTTTGTCTCAAATTGTAATCCCCACGTGTCAAGGGAGGGAACTGGTGGGATATTGGATCATTTGGGGGATGGGGGATGGGTGGTTCCCCTATGCTGCACTCATGATAGTTCTCACAAGTTCTGATGGTTTAAGTGTCTGGCTGTTCCCTGCCCCCTCCTGCCACCTAGTGAAGAGAGTGCTTGCTTCCCCTTTGCCTTTCACCATGATTTTAACTTTCCTGAGGCTTCCCCAGCCATGCGGAACTGTGAATCAATTAAACCTCTTTCTTTCTAAATTACCCAGTCTCAGGTATTCCTTATGGCAGTGTGAAAATGGACTAATACATAAGTATACTAAGTGATAGAACTACCTAGAAAGAATAAATCCAGATTAACTTAAGATGCTCTTGGAATCAGTGTTTCAGTGTAATTGACTGTGGACTTAAACAGCTTTAATGGAGAAGTTGCATCTTACGAATTGTTTCTTTCCCTCCGGTCTTAGTCCCATTACTTGAAAGAAGGGGTACTTGGTAAATGTTGATTACGTTATTAAAAATATTTTAACTTATTTTTAGTAAAATTGAATAACTCTCTTATATTACAATCGTGGAACCCTTGCCCTTTAGCAGGCCATTTCTCCTAAGGAATTTCAGACATCCCTAATCTTAACATCTTTATATAATGTACATACTGTTGTGCGAGTGTATCTTTCTAGGGGCCCATTTATCTTAAACCGACTTTCCTATGTTCCTATCATTTAATGTGTTTTTCCATTGGTAATGATATATTTCTTCTGTTCCAGGATGGGCCAGATATCAGATATCACACATTGCAAGTGTAAACTAAAGCCCAGAGCAGAAATTCAAATGGAATTAAAGTATAAATAAAAATATAGGTCAGACAGAATATGGATAGGTTGTAGGAATAGATCAGATGCCAGATGTAGATTTTAAAAAACATGTTCAGAAAATATAGTATTGAAAACTAAGAAAGAGCACTCCAGAGGAGCTTTAAAAAAGGAGAGCGAGAGAAAGAAAAATAATAGAAAATAAAACTGGAGGACATTGTTAAGTGAAATCAACCAGGCACAGAGACACAAATATTGCAAGTTCTCACTCATATGTGGGAGCTAAAGTAAATTGAACTCATGGAGATAGAGAGTGGGATGATGGTTACCAGATGCTGAGAAGGGTAAGTGGGGAGGACAGGATAAGGAGGGAGTGGTAAATAGGTAAAAAAAAAAAAAAAAATAAAAAGTATATAGTTAGATAGAAGGAATCAGATCTAGTGTTTGGTAGCACCCTAGAGTGATTATAGTTACCAATAATTTATATTTCAAAATAATAGTTAAATTGGAATTTAGCTAACATAAATGATAAATGCTTGAGGTGATGGATGCCCTAATTTCCCTGATTTATCATTACATGTTGTATTCATGTATCAAAATATCCCATGCACCCCAAATGTACAACTATTATGTAGTCATAATAACTAAAATAATTAACGAAAATGAACCTCATCTAATAATTGGACATTTCTCTCGCTAGCTATAAATACCAGGCTTTCAGTCAGCTCTACTTTTAGTTTATGAATGAATACCATAGAAACACCTGTAATGTCCTCCAGTCAAAGGTGTTGATCACCCAAAGCTGAGCTTGTTAAATTTACAGGGAAAGGGTAAGCACCACCTTCAGGGAATAGTCATAGCCTCTCAGAAGAGGAGCATGACGGAAGGATACTTAAGAGTTTTACACGCTGAGCTGGATGGTTCTAAGTATGCTCTCGACAGATTGGTCAGAATTAGCTTACCAGATGAGTTGCTGTGACAGTCTGTGGTGTTATCTTGGAACACATGAGTTTGCCCGAGTTTCTGTAAATCTACTTGAGCTTAAACAATTTGATATGTTTATTTTCCCCAAACGATTTTATGTTAGCCATCACGGGTAATTATGCTTGGCATAAGGGACTCTTGCTTGATATAGGGGGGAGTCTGTTGTATCCGAGTTCTTAGATCATCCTATATTACATCCTATATTAACTCTTTAGGATACAGGGATTGATTAGGGAGTGATATATTAGTTCACTTACATAGGGAGAAATGATCAACTCAGAATATTTTTGTCCCTTTAAAACGTCTACCTCTATGTAAGAGTAAAGAGCATAGGCTCTTGAGCTGCACTGTCTTTGAATCCTAGCTCTGCTACCTACCAGATGTGTGACCTTAAAAACTTTACACAAGCAATTAGTTCGTCAGTTTCCTCATTTGTGCAATGTGGTTAATAATAAATGGGTTAATGTATGTTAAATACTTCATATAGTACAGAGTAAAGACTAGTTATTGTAACTCATGCTATTGCTGATTTTTAAATGATGTTTATTTTAATTCAATTGCTGTTCCCCCTTGTAAACGTAGAAAGAAAAGGTTAGGAAAGGGAGATGTAGAATTCTACTAACAATGACTTATATTAGTAGTTGGGCCAATAGGCCCTCCAAAGGAGATTCATCTTGTGGGATGTAAGTGCATATAGTAGAATATGTCATGAATTAATAACGGCATTCAAAAATGAAGCAAAGACCTGTTTAAATGACCTCAGGGAGAAATCAGAAACTTTTACAGCAGTATCTGCTTTAGGAAATAGCTAGTGATTTACCATTTCAAATTATGAATGGCCAACCAATGCCCTCATCAGTTAGGCATTGACAGCCCATTCTTCTAGTTCTATCTTCTTCTGTACCGGTTTCAGGTGTTTCCTTCTATTACTCCTTGAATTGGCTATGGCATAGTCAGAGTATCAAAATCACTGGCTTAGTTAGGACCTCCTAGTGCTCTATATAAATATATTGGTATTTTTATCTTTTTGACTTGGAATGGTTTCATTTAACATGTAAGATACTTAGATGTTGAGCCCATCCTTGAGAAGAATAATGTATAAACCTCAAAGATAAAACAAAATCCTCTCATTCTTGATCAGTGCTTTTAGTTTGAGCATGTCACTTGGATTACTGTGTCTCTGGCTCTAGCATTAAAATAGTCAACCTCTGAAATAGCAAAAGTGGTACAGAAACTCGTATATTTTGGAGAGTCATCACAGGGAATACTATTTAGTTATATTTAACCAATTGTTGTTATGCATCTTTCAGGGGTGAGACACTGAAAATATTGCAAAGACATAATCACAGCCCTTGATATAATAGTAGTTTGAAAAAAGCCGTATTGGGGCACAGAAGGAGTAGTGGCAGAGTGTGTGTGTGTGTGTGTGTGTATTAACAAAATGGGATTAGGGAATTTGTCAATGATGAGATGACATTTATGTTTTCACTTGCTGAAAACTTTAGAAATCTACTTAGTTTGCTAGGTTTGTAGTGGCTTCTGTTTTCATCTGTAGTAGTTACACCTTAAGTGTGACAAACTTTCATTTACTTAATCAGTTTCAGTCTTTCTAAGGCTGGCATGATCACTAAATGAGAATAGACTCATCTTAATTTTCACATGGCTTCAAAATTATAGAAATATTAATCCTTCCAAAAAATGTTTAGATGTAGTCCAAAAGATTTGTCTGTGGTCTCTGAAAAGTGTTTCACTGGAGATAAAGCTAATCCAGTTTAAAGTAACTTTGTAATCAAAATTAATATTGCATGCGCTAATCATAGGCTCTCCATGCCTTCACTTCTAGTCAGATCCAGGCTCATTGGGAGTCAAGTGCCAGAGAGGTCCTGCCTCAGGACCTTTGTACTTGCTGATCCTTTAATATGGAAATGTGTTTTCTCCAGAGAGTCATCACAGGATTCAACTGCTTATTTCATTCAACTCTATTTTTAAATGTTCCTGTAGTTGAAAGGCTTTCCCTCTCTAAATCCTCTCTTAAGTAGAGCCAACCTCTCCATGCCTTTTGTTCCCTCTCTTTACCTTGCTCTATTTTTCTTTATAGGACTTGCCATGACCTGATTTTGTGTAGCATATTTATTTGTCCTTATTTTTATTTCTAGTCCTAGAATTTAAGCTTCATAAGTTAAGGACTTTGTACATTTTATTCACTGCTATATCTCCTGGTCCTAAAACAGTAGGAACTTAAATGTTTAATGAAAAACATAAATGAATGATTAAATTACTAATAGAATCTGTATTCCCTCTCCAAATGTACATTTGGTATTGTACTAATGTATATAATTTTATGCAACTCATAAAGTAATCGACATATTTATATTGCTTTCAAAATTAGCGCCCTCAAATACATTTAGGTTAGAAAAACTAAAATTAATACATCAATTGATCATCAAGCATAGAAAAGGAACTCCAAGAACACGTAAACATTTTACATCTAAGGTCTTACTATACTTTTGGTATTAATGTATATTGTATTAAATCATTGTAAATGTAGTTTTCTATTCCGAATAGCAATACTAGAGGAATTTACTTTAAATTCTACATTCTCTGCTGGATGATCCCCCAAAACTGCTGCCCAGATAATTACAGTTCCCTCTCTTAGCTTGTCTTCCAGTCTCTAATTTCCTCCTACTTTAAATCATTGTTCACATGCCACCACAATTAGTGTTTGAAGATGACAGGTCTAAGCATGTCATTCTCTTGTTAATACAACCCCATGTTCTTTCTAAACAAAATCCGGCTTTCTATGCCTGCCTTTTATTGCTTCCCACCATGTGTTCTGTACCCATTCTTAAACTAACCTTCAGTTACACCAACCTTGGGAATACATGTTCCTGAACCACAAAAGGGTTTCCTCCATGTTTTTATCTTACAGAAGTCACTTACCTTAGTACTTCATGCATAGTCTGTACTAAGTAAGGGTTTATTGGTGATGACTATGTGTTCAATCTTTTAAAAACTTTGCCACTGTCCTAGAACTTAAAGATGACTATTCCATGAAGCTGGTTTATATTTCAAAGATAAAATGTCATATTTATTATAAGCCTCCTGTTTTTTTTTTTTTCTGGTTTTTCCTGGATAGTAATGTTTACTCAATTTACTAATAAAACTAGAATATATCACTTGGCTATAAGCTGTAGTACCACAGAATTTGAGGTGACACAGAAAAATTATTCATCTGCTCTTATATCTTTCCAAGGGCATGATTAGTCTTGATGGCCTGGTGCAACTGAATTCTATTAATTCTTATTTAAATCATCAGAAACAAAGTGTGATCTCGTGTCACTGAATTAGCTAAACAACCTTGCTGCTTTAACACATAAGTGCCAAAATAGAAAGGAGCTTAAAACAATAGTTTATATGTAGCCCAGGTATAAGTCCAATGTAGGTGTTCCTTATTGGTGACTGATATGGTTTGGCTGTGTCCCCACCCAAATTGCATCTTGAATTCCCACGTGTTCTGGGAGTGGCCCAGTGGGAGGTAATTGAATCATGGGGGCAGGTCTTTCCCGTGCTGTTTTCTTGATAGTGGTAAGTCTCGTGAGATCTGATGGCTTCATAAGGGGGAGACTCCTTGCACAAGTTACCTTCTCGTCTGCCACCATGTGAGACATGCCTTTCGCATTCTGCCATGATTGTGAGGCCACCCCAGCCACGTGGAACCGTAAATGAATTAAACGTCTTTCTTTTGTAAATCGTCCAGTCTCGGCAGGTATTTATCAGCAGTGTGAAAATGGACTAATTACAGTGACTAATATTTTTCTATATTTTTCTGCCTTTGTTGTGGCTCTACCTTCTTCACAGATGATGATGTTTTTTGTTTTTTTGTTTTTTCATATAGCCATTGAAGAGGGGGAAGCAAATACAGAAAAGCCACAGTGACTTCTTAGAAGCCTTGTGGTAGAGGTGATGCATATGTGCTCCCTTCACTTTCCACATGAAGGGGATGTGTGCTCATGAAACATGTATATAGCCATGCCTGTCTACAAGGATAATGCAGTGGCTGGCTGAGTGGCTGCTTCTAAGTGAAAAATCTATACTTTAAAAGCTGGAGAAAGGACATGGTTGTTTGACAGCCTGTCTCTGCCATAGTTAGGAACTATCAGCTTCATAAATAAAACTATCTGGTGGTCTTCTCAATGGGGAGCTTAATTACCTCAAGTCAATAAGAGGAAAATATCCATTAGATTCAATTCTATGTTAAGAAAATCGTGGTCCCAGTGGGATTATAATTTCTAAAATGAAGGAATGTCAGTAAATTTAATGGAACCTTAAGTATACCATAGAAAAAAATGATACATTCTGACATTGAATTTTGTTGATTTAAATAAATTTATTGTGGTAACCATGCTGGTTCCCTTCATGACATATGAATGGGGAATTAAATAATATACACAATGCTTTGCTGAAAAGTGTTCAATTTGTGTTAGATCAGATACACTTGTCTTGGTGACAAAATTGGCACAAAGCTTTATGAAACCCACGAGTGGGCAAAGATTGTATCAGAAATATCTAACGGTATAAAGCAATTTTGTTTTTCATTGTTACGATATTGACACATCTCCAAGAAACACATCCAGGGATGAATAGCTCTATTCCCCAAATTCTAAAGACAGCATCTGACGGAAATCTAATTTCAGTCTTGTTATTAAATAAGTTTTCTTAGTGTCTGCCATAGTAGACAGTGTTTGCAAGATAGCATATTCATTTTTTAACATATTTTTCTTTTGTGTGTTATAAATAAAATTAATAAACTGTCATATTCTACTGGTATCCACTGACGTTTCTTAGTTTTACTTTAATCTCACCATTATGTAAATTGACTTTGACAGAATATTTTTAGTTGAAACATTGCTGGAAATTGAATAAAGTTATGTGTGTGTGTAACTCCTGTGAAACACTCAATGTTATATCTATATCTCTTATCAATAGTTAAGCCTTTATGAAAATAATTGATTCTTTAGCATGGTGTATTGCACCTTTCTCCCAAACAGAGATTTACAGACACATAGTAGGGTGTGTATATATATAGATGAGCATCAGGTATAACACATAAATGCTTATATATCTAATTGGTGTTGAGGTCTGAATTAATGTATTTTTGAAAGCATCGGTTCTTGTGACAGTAGAATCAAATACTTGCATAATGTTTTATAGACTAGTTATAATCCTTACAAAAATCCTATTGACAAAATAGCATTAGCTTAATATTCCAGATGAGAAAATGGGCTCCAAGTAATTAGATGCTTTGTTCCTGATCAAACACTAAGTGGAAAAAAACCCACCTCATTACAAAATTTTCTTGTTGAAAGACTTCAGACTGCCTCTAAAATAGAGGAGAGAAGAAATAGTCTGACACTCTAAATTGGATATAAACGTCAGAATTGGGACTATAAGTCTAGAAAAAGTAAGTATGTTTAATGGCACATATAGAACTTACAGTCTTAACAAATGAAGCTTTTTGGTCAATTTTGGAGTATGATCTTCTATAACACGGAAAATCATTTTGGGGTTTTTTTTCCTGAATAATTCATAAATGGAGATGGACTAAAGAAAATATAAAGGAAATAGCATAGGAAAATTTTGTAAAAACTTATTTGGATATTTTATGATTTTTCTACATCTGTTTTCTAAATTTTACACCAGGGTTCCCTTTAAATGGCTACTTTTTTGGAAAAGAAATCTGAGTATATACCCATATGCAAATGAGCCTCAAAAAATACTAGGTGCCTTTAGCTTCTGTTAATATGAAATTACTAATTCATGATGAGAATATTTTATTTTAATGTTAGCGGTGTTGCTTTTGGTTGGAAGCCAGGTAAATGTAATCCTATTACTATGCCTATAATGCGGAGTAGTTTTGTTTAATGGTATGTATTAATGCGGCATTGGACAGCTTGAATTGAATCAGAGAAATGGTGTTGGCAAGCATTAAAGACTTTAAGAGAATGCAAATTTTATATGCCTCTTTTTATTGTAAATTGACAATATATAATTGTATAAATATATGGCATACAAAGTGATGGTAGAATTTATGAATACAATGTGGAGTAATTAAATCAAGCTAGTTAACATATCTATCACCTCAAAGACTTTTGTGGAGAGAACATTTGAAGTGTACTCTCTTAGCAGCTTCGAAATGAGCAATACTCTATTAACTATATTCATGCTGTGCAATGCATTTCAAATTTTCATCAGAAAAATCAGCTTTGAAAGAGTGTATGCAAAAATTTTATAAGCTTCTCAGATGATATGATCTTATATGTAGAAAATTCTAGAGATTTCCACACAAAAAACCTGCTAGAACTAATAAATTAAGCACAATTGCAGTAAATAAAATCAATATACAGAAATAAGTTATATTTTATGCACTAACAGTGATGCAGTCCAAAAAGGAGATTAAGGAAACAATTTTATTTAAAATAGTAACAAAAAGAGTAAAATACTTAGGAATTAACCAAGAAGGTGGAAGACTTATACACTGACAACTACAAAACAATCCTGAAAGAAATTAAACATTTATTTTTATAAATAAATGAAAAGGAACCCCAGGTTTATGAAATGGAACACTCAATATTGTTGTTGAGGTATCCGAGTTACTCAAAACAAACTACACATTCAGTGCCATCTCTAAGAAAATCCCAATTAGTTTTTCTGCAGAAATAGACAACTCTATCAAAAATTCCCATGTAATCTCATGGATCCAGGAATAGTTGAAACGATCTTGAAAAAAGAATGAAGTTGAAGGGTCATACGTCCTGATTTCAAAACTTACTACAAAGCTACCATAATCAAAACACTGTGGTATTGGCTTAAAAAAAGGGAATGTAGAACAATAGAATATAATAGCCCTGAAGTAAACTCTACTATATATTGTCAAACAATTTTCCATAAGGTTGCCAAGGTTTTTTAATGATTTTTTAATGAAGCCACAAATGTTGCTAAGAAACTGAATATATACATTTAAAATAAATGAAGTTGGACTCTTATAAAATACACAAAAATTAAGTCAAAATGGATCAGGAAGTAAACGTGGCCAAAAGTACAGAACTTTTAGAAGAAAGCGTAGACATTTGGAAGAAAACATAAACATTAGATTGGGCAATTAAATATCTTGGATATGACACTAAAAGCTCAGGCTACAACAGAAAAATTAGGTAAATTGAAATGCATCAACATTAAAAACTTCTGTGCATGAATGAACACCATCAGAGTGAAAAGGCAACTTACGGAATGGGAGAAGATGTTTGCGAATCATATATTCAATAGGGAATTAATATCCAGACTGTGCCAAGAACTCCTATATGTTAGTCCATTCTTGCATTGCTCTAAAGAAATATCTGAAACTGGGTAAATTATAAAGAAAAGAGGTTTAATTGGCTCACATTTCTGTAGGCTGTACAGGAAGCATGATGCTGGCATCTGCTCGGCTTCTGGGGAGGCCTCAGGAAACATAAAGCAGAAAGGGAAGGGTGACCTGGCAGGTCATATGGTCAGAACAGGAGCAAGAGGGGTGGAGGGAGATGTCATACACTTTTAAACGACCAGATTTCATAAGAACTCTCTATCACGAGAATAGTACCAAGCGGACAGTACTAAACCATTCATCAGAAATTTGCCCCAGTGATCCAATCACCTCCCACCAGACACCAACTCCAACATTGGGGATTACAATTCAACATGAGATTTGAGTGGGGACACAGTTAAATTATATCATCGTAGAATTCAACAACAGAAAAACAGCAATTAAAAAAATGAATAAATGAGTTGATCAGAAATTTCTCTAAAGTTTGGCCAGTAAGACCATGAGTAGATAATCGATATCGCTGATCATTAGGGAAATGCAGATAAATCCCAAATGAGATAGCACTTCACACCCATTAGGATGATGATTATTTTAAAACACCAAAAAAAAAAAAAAAAACCCAGAAAATAAATATGGTTGAGGATGTGGAAAAATTTGAACACTTGTGAACTGCTGGAGGGAATGTAAAACCTTGCAGTCACTGTGGAAACAAATATGTTGGTTTCTCAAAATATAGAACGTAGAATTACCATGTGATCCAGCAATTCCACTTCTGGGAATATACTCAAAAGAATTGAAAAAAGGACCTTCAAAATATATTTGTACACCCATGTTTATAGCAGCATTATTCATAGTAGCAAAAGATGGAGCAACTCAAATGTCCATCTGAAGATGAATGGATAAACAAAATGTGGTAAATGTATACAGTAGAATATTATTCAGCCTTAAGAAAGTTCTGACACACATTATAGCATGGATGAATCTTGATGATGATATGCTAAGGGGAAAAAGCCAGATACAAAAGGATAACATATGATTCTATTTGTATGAGCTATCTAGAGCAGTAAAATGCATAGATAAAGTAGAATGGTGGCCTCTAGAAGCTGGGGGAGAGAAGGTATGGGGAGTTATTTAATGGATATGAAGTTTTTTGGGGGAAGATAATTTTTGGAGGTGGATGGTGGGGATGGTGACACAACAAGGTAAATATACTTAATGCTGATAAATTGTATGCTTATAAATGATTAGAATTATATGTTTTATGTTATATATATTTTACCATGATAAAAACCTATAAGCTTTCTTGTAAAGTTTTAGAAAATGTTTGGATTCATAAGTGTTGGATGATTGAGTTTTATAGTGTAAATTTAATGTAGTTGTGCTCAATTGTCAATTGTATGCCTATTGTCTGTGAGTATATATTTTCCAGATTGTTCTCTAAACATAATTTTTAACCATTTAGTTGGAAAAAAAAAAAACCTCAACTTAAACCCAAATGGAATTATGTAGTCCATTCAGTGCATACTGTGAAATATATTAGTAACATTTTATTCATTTTAAAGATTTTCGTTATCAGTTTAGGAAGAATGATAATTTTATAAATCCATAGCATACTGTTGTTGTGTGCGGGTAATACTCATTATTTAGGCTGTTTTTAATTTGGGGTCTTTTTTAACAGATAATCAACAAACGTTTTTTATTTGCACACAGTACTCTTAGTATTTCGTTTTGCTTCAGTAATAGTAAATGAGGCTGGGGTTTGGAGAGCACGATTGCTTTTGGAAAAGTCAATAGAGACATGTTTTTATCGCTACTGCTTTTTTTCTATGTTAATTGGAATTTGACGTAAAATTGATTCTGAAAGATATCAAGGTAGACACTTGAAATATAGATTGGACAATAAGGTTGGTAGACCATTACTGTGCTTTGAACTAGAGTCATTAATGTGATTGTGAAAATTTTTACTTTGTATGTTATTCATCACTTTTCTCCCTTAGTGGTGTTTAGAGCATGATGAGTTGTTACTGTACTGACAAGTATTAGTCTAGTAGTAATTTCTCATAGGCTGACAAGTGCCAAAATTCATCCTCACATATGAATACACTAAAGCAGACAAACACTGTTTTCATCTCTGACACTATCTACAGTTTATCGTGATACATTATTTTGGCCTACAGGGTCACAGGCAAATTATATTTAATCACTGCTTTAAACTAAAACATAACTATAAATATTTTTGCACTCTTTAAATCAGCATAACAATCCAATAGACTTCAAGATCCTGAGATAATATTTAATAACATTAAAATGATTTAAAAGTATAACGATTGTATTAAATAATTCTGAATAAACAATACTTTTGAATGAAGAAGATTAATTAGCATGATCATTATAGAAATGGTCCTATTAATACAAAGATGTCAAGAGTCATTTCTGGTTCAAGTCAATTAAGCTACGTTTTAATTGAAAAAAGCTGTTCATTGTGTACAGCGGTAGCACTCCTGACATATCATATAAATGACCCCATTAATGCAGGAGAAATAAGGTCAACTGAGACATTTTTACTGAAACCAATTATGTTACATTTTAATTGAAAAATAAAAGCTGCTTTTATTCAAAGGAAGCACCACTGACACTCCATCATATTCCATAGCCTCCTAATATTGCAGTAACTTCCTAAGCAGTCTCTCAGTTCTTCGCATTATACAAAGTTATCTTTTTACTACATTAATTAGGTCATGTGTTCCCTATTTAACACCTTCTGAAGACTCTACATTGTACTTAGAAAAATGTCTGGAGTCTGAAAGCAGCCAGCAAGACCCTGTGTGATCTGTCCCCTGCTTGCTTCTTGATCTCACTTCACACTGGTTCCCTTACTTCACCAGGCTCCGGTCAAGCAAGAACATACTTCTTCTCCCTCTTTATATAGCTGACAACTTCCTGCCATTCAGTCTGAGCCGAAAGGTCTCATCTTCAGAAGAATCCTTTGCAGTCTACCATATGTAAAAGAGCTCTCCTGATGAGCCCTCCCAGCCATTCCTGTATCCTATTCACACTTCTTGCTTTAAAATCATCATCATTATCTGAAATTACCTTGTTTGATTATCTAGCTTATTTCTTCTCTGCTTCCCCTACTAGAATGTTTGGTGTCAAGGACTTTGTCCGTTGGCTTCAGTACTGTATAGCCAGTAGCTAGGAGAATGCCGAAGAGATGGTAGGTGAAAAATGTTTGTGGAATGGATAAATAAATGAATAGCAATAGTACAGAAGTATGCCATCTTATTTGTTAATAGGTGACCATCGGTTGATAGAGTTTCATTTCTCCTGATTGCTTAACTCAGTAACACTCTCCTGCAGGAGAGCTAGTCAGGACTCAGGGTTTTTTTGTTTTTTTTGATTTTTTTTTTCTTTTTTTTTCTTTTTTTGAGACAGAGTCTTGCTCTGTCACCTAGACTGGAGTGCAGTGGTACGATCTGGCCTCACTGCAACCTCTGCCTCCTAGGTTCAAATGATTCCTCCTGTCTCAGCCTCCCGAGTAGCTGGGATTACAGGCGCGTGCAACTATGCCTGGCTAATTTTTTGTGTTTTTAGTAGAGACTGGGTTTCACTGTGTTAGCCAGAATGGTCTCGATCTCCTTACCTTGTGATCTGCCCATCTCGGCCTCCCAAAGTGCTGGGATAACAAGCATGAGCCACCATGCCCAGCCCGAGGACTCAGGTTTAAGTATGTGAACAGATAGTTCAGAAGACGTTATAAACTGTTAATGGAAAGTCTGGAAGGAACCCAGAGATATGTTTTGTTTGATCTACACCTTACTACAGATTTGGGTTTCTGTTAGCAGATCTAGCAGCTCTGGGGCAACATTCTGCAATGGCACCATCCTGGTAGTACTGAGGAGTGCTACTCTCCTCCCTCAAAGCGGGCACATTACTGTTCAGTCTGGAGCTGCACTCGCCATACACACAGTTTATGTAACTCCACTGACAGACTCTGCCACTCCAGTCATTTATGGCATCTGACTTTGATTCCACATGGAAATCTACTGGGTGGACCTGTCACATTTAAAGATAATCATCATCATCATTGTGTATGTGTGTGTATAAGTTACATTGGCCATTTTTCTGGGGACTGAGTCTGTCTACTCCAAAAGCTGTGAAAATAGTAATGATTAAAAGTCCTCAGACTCTATGATTGTGGAAATTCTTTGTATTCTAGAAGCACACAATTCTAAGACTTCTGAGTGTCTCTCTTCAGTCTCCTGTGAAGAGCATCACCGATTTATCACTAAATGAGCAGATTATATACTGGGGATTTAGTGTAGAATGTGCCATACAGTAGCTGTGCTTCTTGAAGAAATCCCTGGATAGGCCAGGTGGGTTTATGGTAAGAGATAAAATTAAATAGACGCTGCAAAAAAAGGAGACAACATTATTAAAGTCACAGGAACAAATGACACTTGTAAACATCTTGGACATGAGTTGATAACATTTAAGTGTAGTCCAAAGAGTTCAAATAAAAAGGCATTGCAATCACTTGAGAGAGAGAGAGAAATAATGCCCGGAGAGTACATTTGGGCTATATTTTAGAGAAAGGCCTTGATAGGTAGAAATAGGGAAGAATAGCATTCCAGGTGAAATAGCAAGGCAAAAGCACCAATGAAGAAGAAATAAGAGGAAGGCATATTCAAGGTATAGAAAATCATGTCATTATGTGAGGTACAAAAAGCTATCGAGTGTGCATTTATATATGAGGTATCATGCTAGGAACCCAGGATAGCTAGATCAAAAGGTATGCATTAAAGACATTTTGACTAATTTCCAAATGATCATAATGATGCCTATATGCAACATCAATATATGAAGTATTCAGTTTCCCATTCCTTGCAAGTAAACCTGAATATGTTTAACATTATATCACTCTGTTCTTCCCTCCTGCAACCATAATTCATAAGTTATTTTCACCAATTCATTCACCAAGCATTTATTGAACACTATGTATCATGTCTCTGATTGGCACTGGGGAAACAAATGTCTCTAATCTCAAGGGACATACAGTAGAATGGGAGAGAGATACAGTTCCTTTAAATTCTGGACCTTTCCATTTCTCTTCTATTTTCAATAGAGCTTGCAGTCATGGAAAATTTATTCTCTGTGGCAACAAAGTAGGGCAGATATTTGCCCTGGAAGGTGAAGAGAGATAGAGAAGGCTTTCTGCCTAACATTTATCATGAGGTACTAACAAATATGACAATTGAATAATGCTGTTAAATACTATGTGGCATACTGATTCCATTTCACATACTTATGTCTCCTCTTTTTAATAGAAGGTAGTGTAAAAAGAAGTCCTGTGTTACAGTAATGTTTCTTTTATTATCTAATTGATCCTTGGGTACGTTACCTAATAATTGGGTATGTACATCTCCACATACATAGCAGTGGAATAGTAATAGTTGGGGGGATTTTTGTGACATTTAAGAAGAATAATTACAAGAGTCAAAAGTATAATATAAACACAAAATAGGAACTTTCCATTTTTCAATGCAGATTTATTCAGCATCTTTGCTTCTGATTCCATGTATTTTTCTGCTTCAGAATTCTTTTTTTATCCTCTATCTTATTTTACAGTTAATAATTTCCTGAGGGACTACTTTCTGAGTGGAAAATTGTTAGAATCCTGAAGAAATGTATCACATGGGCCTGCCTGGGTCTTCCCCCGCCCCCCCCCCCCCCCCAAGAAAAACCTGCATCTGCCTTAAACATAAGATCCAGTAGTCAGTATGAAATTCATCAAGCTAAAGCTTATCTCGTCTGTAGTTGTAGCTCTCTGAAACTTTAAAAAAGGAGTTTTAAACTTTGCATATCTGAATTTCTGAGGTAGCATTATATATGAAACCAAAAATATATAAAATAATAAGAAAATTGCTAAAGAATCACTTTGTGAAATGATGAATCCATTTAGCTTAGTTCTTCTGTTTGGATATGATAGCCTTATTGCCATAGAGAAATTGAGGTAAGGCATTAAGAGAACAAGCAAACAATTTTGCAGTAACTAACTCATCTCTCCCATGTTGCCAGGTGTGCCGCATATTGCTGAGCAGTGAAAGGATTAAGCTAGGAAAGAAAGTGGGGAAAGTGCTACCTGGAAATCAGAATGAACATTGAATATAGAAATGCATCTAAGGGGGAATGAGAAAGAGAAGAGTAAATTAGGTTTTTCTTGAGTCCTGTCTTTGTTACTTCCACATTTTGTCTACAGGATTAAGCATTCAGTGCCTGATAAGTTTAGTATTGTGCCAGAGGACCCCAGAGAAAAATTAGAAATGATCCTTTCCTTCTAGCAACTTTCAGTGTAACTTGAGAGTCAGGACTGACCAAAATAGTTCAATAGGTCTGAAGTAAAATTATTTGTGAAGTAGTAAATTTCACTTTATAGTGTATGAATGCTGTAGAAATATATGAGAGAAATCAACAAGGGCTGTGATGGAAAATAGGAAACATCCAGAAGTAGAAGTTGAGCTGAAACTTAAAGATAGTTAGAATTGGATAAGATAAAATGAGTATTCCCAGTTGCAAAACAATGTGAGAGCATGTTTCGAAATAGAGAAGAGGGATGGGCATAGGAAAAACATACAGATGAAGTAAAAGAGGGCATTTTATCTTTTTTATTTTTTTCATTTTACATGTCTGTTTTGTTTGTGGACGCCTATTTGGTCTCATTGTTCTGGCTTTGGGAGACAGGCAGGGGATGCTGCGGAGCACATGGCCCCTATTTGTGGTCGTTTTGCTCCAGGTGAAAATAATAGCCACCCTTTATTGAACACATCCTGTGTTTCAGGCACTGTGCTAAGCTCTTACACTTTGTTATCTCGTAATCTTGAGAATACCTGTGTGAGGGCAAATTGCAGTAAGAGTAAATGGGGGGTTTGATTCCGAAGTCTGAGATTCTTGCCTTTATGACCACTGACAGTTAAGGGGCTTGTTACATAATTACAGGAACTCAAGAGTCTTGGTCGTTGAATAACAATGGATCAAGTGCTGTGCTGTGACCCATTATTTTATCAAGTGGATGGAATAAAACATGACTACTGTGTTCATTTGGATGAGTAGGAGAATGCTGAACTTTGAAAGGTTATGGAAGGCAAGCCTGTAGAGAGGTACCAAAATGGCATGTAGCAACACGCAGGGAGGAGAAAGACCTGGATTTAAATGCAGTCTCTGCCATCTAGAGCTGCGTGAGCTTGAGAAGTCTGCATCATCTTCCCTCTCTGGCCCCTAAAGCTAAAGAATTAAAATGTATCACCACTGCTCTCTAAGAGTTCAGTTTAAGTGACAGCAATAGTCAAGAGTGTCAGTTTGAGTTTTCCCCCAAAGCAAAGCCTGACAGAAAGCCATGATTGGCTGATTATCAAAGAAACTAGTAAGAAAACTCAGGAACATGTGGGACCTGGAAAAGTGAGACAAGGAAGAAGGAAAAGCTAATAAAGATAACATTGTTGAACTGATGACCATAATAGGTAACTGTACCTCAACCTTGCCTGGGACATTATAGAACCTTATAGAACTGTCCTCAGAAATGTCCCTTTGAAGGACAATTTATTTTCCTCCCTCCTCTTCCTCCTCCTCCTCCTGTTGCTAGAGCTAGGAAGTGAAAGGGTGTTAACCCTCTAACAGCAGAAACAGGAACTGCAGCAAAAATGAGAGATGGGTTGATGGGATACAGTGCAAAATACAAAGAGGCATCTACTGTTCAAAATAAACCTATAAAGGAATCTGTATTAGTCTGTTCTCATGCTGCTAATAAAGGCGTACCAAAGACTAGGTAATTTATAAAGGAAAGGTTTAATTGACTCATAGTTCTACATGGCTGGGGAGGCCTCACAATCATGGTGGAGGGCAAATGAGCAGCAAAGTCACATCTTCCATGGAGACAGGCAAGAAGAGAAAGCATGTTCCGGGAAACTTTCTTGTATAAAACCATCAGATCTCGTGAGACGTATTCACTATCACGAGAACAGCATGGGAAAGACCTGCCGCCATGATTCAGTTACCTCCTACCAGGTCCCTCCCATGACATGGTGGGAATTACGGGAGCTACAATTCAAGATTTGGGGGAAGAAACAACCAAACCATATCAGAATCGAAAGAAAAATTATAAAGTCAAAGTAGAGGAAATTCTGGAGAGCCTTGAAAGTTGGGCTAAAACTAGATAGAATGTGTATGTCTCAACATTTTCTATTATATCCCTGAATCATATAACTTGTTAAGAATGGGGTTACACAAAATTTCAGTTAGGTTGGAGAGGGAAATTCAAGAGAACTGTTGGGTGTATATAACAAGACTATAGTTAATAGCAATGTATTGTATGCTTGAAAATTTCAAAAAGAATAGACTTTAAATGTTCTCACAAGCATGTGAGGTAATGGATATATCAATTGGCTTGATTGAGCCATTTTTAAATGTATATGCCTATCAAGATATATTGTATACTATAAATATATAAAATTTGTCATGTTAAGTAAATTCGAAATTAGAAAAAAAATGGAGCTAATCTCTTTAAGAGTTAAACCCTGAATTGTAGGGAATTTCTTGCTGACGAAGACTAATTTGGTCTTGAAGAGAATTTCATGTCACCATGAACTTATGGCCTGACTTCAAACCAGTGATGAGCTGTGGAGGGATATAGGGCACTTTGCTTTCCATCAGATCCTCTCTTAAGCTGTTTTGCATCACTTAATTCTAACTGTAAAGTTGGGAAAATGTAGATGGGGCAAGTGACAGCATATGGTTTGATATATACTTGATTGTATCCATAAGAACATCCTCTTACCTTTTTAATAAGTAGCTTGGAGTGCTTCCTGCCAAGGCTTTCACCAGTTATCCAGAAGATTAAAGGCTGAAGTAGTGATTGTCCTTGGAATGTCCCTCTATCTATGTGTAGATCTGTGGTTTTATTCATTTGTTTCCCAAATTGATCCACAAGGAGATTAATCTTGTATTTTTTTCCTGATGACTTTTATAAACTAGATGCGTAAGACATATAATATTGACATCATATCAAGTTGCCCATAGGGTTATTTAAATATTTGAAGAGATGTGTTTGTTCTCTTACACTCTCTGAATGCTTTTGGTTTTTAGCGATTTTATTGTCATCAAAAACCATATTCGACTACACATTTTTCTGACCTACTAGACATTCACATTTAGCTTTGGGTACTTTGTCATTGTAGAAGCAAGTATAAAGTAATGAAATTTATGATTCAATCAGAAAACAAGTATTGAAGCTGCTGAAATATGACGTTCTCAGCTTTATTTCTTCTACGAAAAGTCCAGGTTAATGTTTATAAAATATTTTTAAACTTTTTTGTCTGTTCAGGACTGAATTTCTTGTTGAGCCGGAATGGTGAGATAATTCTTTCTTCTGTGGAACAAATGCATTTTAATGATAGTTACTTATATGAAAATGTTACTAAGATTTAATTTATGCGCTTAATGCTGCTTAAAATAAATGTATTCAATAACAAAACAAAGCCAATAGCCATAGCACATTAATTATTGAATAGACTTTCTGTAGTTACTGCAACTGAATGACAGGTAGTAAGACCTTAATATTTGCAATCACAATTGTATTCTTCTTTGCCCTAGATTAAGCTTGCTGATTACAGTGCAATGAAGAAAAATTAATTAGTTTGCTCCAGTGGAGCAGTTAATATAGCACAAGCGAAACCCATACCCTGCTTCCTCCTGTAACCAACTTGTTTTCACTTACTCTGCCTTTTGATACACAACCATTTTCTTGATCACTTCCCAATTGAGGAAAAGTTTAATTAAGTAGCTAATACTATTTAGAAAATATAGTGCTAAGGAAAAAACATGTTATTAAATTCAAACCATTGATATTTTTATTGCTATTTAACTTATATTTTATACCTGGCAAGCAAATAATTGAATATTGTTTGAAAATATTTGTAATTAAGAACTCAAGAATATGAAAACATCATTGAGTTATAAAACATGTATTACTCCTCAAAGAGCAAATATTCCTGTGTTGGGCTGCTCTTAGTTGGAGTAAACACATTACCTGCCCACAGGGAACTTTTCATCTATTAGAATTCAGAATACATTTCAGGGATTCTTACCAAAAAGATTTAGAATACAGCTATATGAATTTATAGAAATATTTTAACTTCAGAAGGATTGTGTGCTCACTTCCGTATCTTCCTTTAAGATTTTAGTCATGTTCCGTTTTTTGTGTTTTTTTTCCTTGTCTGAAGACAATATTTTTAGAGGAGAGAATTTCTTTGAAATTGATACTGTAAGTAAATTTACTGTATTTACTTAGAACTACTCATTCACCCATACAAAAAAAAAGTTGAGCTTTCATTATTGAGCTCTCCTCATTATGTTATAAAGGAAAAAGACATTGTCCTTATCATGGGAGACAAGCAGATACATGGGCAATTCTTCAGCAATGTGATGAGTAGGGAAAGACATACATGATGTGGGAAATAGTGTTTTACAGTCAGGTCATGCATTGAACCAAAACTCAGGCCGTAAGGAAAGGCTTTGAAGGGGCAGTGGTAACTTACCTGACATGTAAAGGAGCCAGATGAAAAGGATGTTGCAGGCAGAGAAGCTGTAATGTACAGAGAACTGAAGGTAAAATAAAATATCAGCTTATGGCTTGGCAAACACTATGGGGAAAGAGGCACAGAAGTCACAATGATAGTGGGAGCCATCTGCACAATGATTTAATGGCTAGGGTGTTATGTACAGTTATGTGTCTTGTATATTGCATCATTTCTATAACAGTATAAATGCTATTGAGTATAAATTAGATATTTATTGACCTCATATTTTACAGATTTGCCGTGAAAATTTCTGTATGTTTAAATCTGCGATAAGTTTGTTATTGACTCATTCATCTAAATTAATAGCTTGTTCTTCAGAAAAGAAGTTTTGAGACTGGTTGTGATGGTCTCATCAGGTTGAAGAGATCATACTTTTACTGTGGCACCTATTTTTTTTTTTTAATGGTTTATTTCTATTTGAGTAAAACAGTGGCTAAGGTTCTATGGTATCGGGATAAGATGGTGATAAGTGATCTATATGACAGAGTTGGCAGAGGAATTAATAACCATATTGACTTGGGAGAGTGAGCTCTGTATATAGAATACACATTTTAGTCAGGAGGGCAGAGTGGTAAAAGTCTGAGATCTTGAGATGCACTGCTTGGGTTTGAATCCTAGCTGTATTACTTAAAAGCTGTGTGGCCCTCAGAAAGTTAGTCATACTGTGTTTCAGTTTCCTCATCTGTAAAATGGCGATAATTGTATCCATCTGATAAGATTGTTTTGAAAATATTTAAGTTTAACATGTATGTATGTAGTTACATACATGTAAAAGTATTTAAAAAGGTGCTTGGTAGATATTAAGTGACCAGCAACTCTAAATATTGTTTTATTATAATTAGTAAGCTACCACAGGTTCTGTGCTGCTGAATAATTGATCAATACCTTACATAACATCAGCAAAGGGGTAATTTTCAATTTTGCAGATGGCACAAATCTGGGTGGGGGGTCAAAATGAAGATGAGAATTTTTCATGATAGGCTAAATCACGGGGTCAAAACCCACAAAATAGAATTGAGCAGGGTTTGGTACCTTCTTAATTGCTTGCTTGCTTTATTTTCAATGGCTTGTTATGTAACACCAACCATGTGGTCAACTTGCTAGGTTATATAAAGGTGAATAAGGCTCGGTTCCTTCCCTCAAGAACATATTAACATGTAGACGCAAGTACAGAAAGGGAGAACTAACATTGTATTATAAATATTCTAAAAATGCTAAATTAACAGAAATATGATACAAAGTATAGTATAATGTAGTATTTAGAGGAGATAATGGTTTCACACTCCTTTGCTCTGACAAAGCATCAAGAGTCTTTAGTTATTTGTGTCAGATTTTAAGAAAGCCAATTAAATGTTATAGAACACCCACAGCTGAGGGAAGAATTTGTACTGAAGCTTGGTTGGAGTATACTCCCTGTGTGGCTTACTATGAGTGGCAGTGCAGAGGGTTTGTGGTGGTCAAATAGGAAATCTTTATGAGTATGAAAAACAAATTTCTAAGGTAGACTCAATGCAAAGTCGAACCACATCTGGAAGAACTATAAATTCCATAAATGTTCATTAAGCACCTCCTATGGGCAAAGTGTTCTGTTAGGCCTGAATGAATTTATTGAAGACATAAGAAAAGGCTCATGTCTTGGAATATATTGTCTTTTGAGGAATACCAGCATAATTATGATTGTATAATAGTTTAATTTTATTTTTGATGTGTACTATTTAAAATTCAGAGTGCTATAAAAATAGTAAATCAGGGAATCTGTATCTGGAGGAATAAGAAATGAAGTCTTTTTGAAGGAAGTGATATTTAGATGGAAGTCTGGGTACTAGCTTGTTGTGGAGAAGGAAGAGGGTAAAGGCATGAGGGAGGAAAATACAGGTGGGGATGGAAAGGTGTTCTAAGCAGGGAGAAGTCAGTGCTTGTGTATTAGTCCGTTTTCATGCTGCTGATAAAGAGATACCTGAGATTGGGTAATTTATACAGCAAAAAGGGTTTAATAGACTTGCAATTCTATGTGGATGGGGAAGCCTCACAATCATGGTGGAAGGCAAGGAGGAGTAAGTCACATTTTACAGGAATGACAGAGGGCAAAGAAAGCTTGTGCAGGGAAACTCCACTTACAAAGCCATCAGATCTCGTGAGACTTTCACTACCACAAGAACAGCATGGGAAAGACCTGTCCCCATGATTCAATTACCTCCCACAGGGATCCTCTGACAACATGTGGGAATTCAAGATGAGATTTGGGTGGGGACTCAGCCAAACCATATCATTCCACCCCCGGCCCCTCCCAAATCTCATATCCTCACATTTGAAAACCAATCTTGCCTTCCCAACAGTGCACCAAAGTCTTTACTCATTCCCTCATTAACTCAAAACTCCACAGTCCAAAGTGTCATCCTAGATAAGGCAATTTCCTTCTGCCTGTGAGCCTATAAAATCAAAAGCAGATTAGTTACTTCCTAGATACAGTGGGGTTACAGGCATTGGGTAAATATAGCCCTTCCAAATAGGAGAAATTGTCCAAAACAAAGGGGCTTCAGGGCACATGCAAGTCTGAAATCCAGCAGGGCTGTCAAATCTTAAAGCTCCAAAATGATCTCCTTTGACTGCGTATCTCACATCCAGGTCATGCTGATGCAAGAGAGGGGTTCACGTGGTCTTGGGCCACTCTGCCCCTGCGGCTTTTCAGGGTACAGCCTCCCTCCTGGATGCTTTCATGAGCTGGCATTGATTGTGGCTTTCCTCGGTGTGTGTTGCAAGCTGCCAGTGGATCTACCATTCTGGGGTCTGGAGGACAGTGGCCCTCTTTTCATGGCTCTAATAGACAGTGCTCTAGTAGGGTCTCTGTGTGAGGGCTCTAACCCCACATTTTTCTTTTGCACTGCCCTAGCAGAGGTTCTCCATGAGGGCCCTGCCCCTACAGCAAACTTCTACCTGGGCATCCAGGTTTTTCCATACATCCTCTGAAATCTAGGCAGAGGTTCCCAAACCGCAGTTCTTGACTTCTGTGCACCTGCGGGCTCAACACGACGTGGAAGCTGCCAAGGCTTGGGCTTCCGCCCTCTGAAGTAACAGCCCAAGCTGTACCTCGGCCCCTTTTAGTCACAGCTGGAGTGGCTGGGACACAGGGCACCAAGTCTCTAGGCTGCACACCACAGAGGGACCCTGGGCCTAGCCCACAAAACCATTTTTTCCTCCTAAACTCCAGACATGTG
Source organism: Homo sapiens (assembly GCF_000001405.40). Taxonomy (NCBI): domain Eukaryota; kingdom Metazoa; phylum Chordata; class Mammalia; order Primates; family Hominidae; genus Homo; species Homo sapiens. Next base: position 32,751,732 of record NC_000023.11, on the reverse strand, counting down.
ATGGGAGGGGCTGCCACAAAGGTCTCTGACGTGCCCTGGAGACATTTTTCTCATTGTCTTGGTGATTAACATTCAGTTCCTTGTTACTTATACAAATTTCTGCAGTGGGCGTGAATTTCTTCTCAGAAAGTGTGATTTTCTTTTTTATCACATTGTCAGGCTGTAATTTTTCCAAACTTTTATGCTCTGTTTCCCTTTTAAAACTGAATGCCTTAACAGGACCCAAGTCACCTCACGAATGCTTTGCTGCTTAGAAGTTTCTCCCACCAGATAACGCTAAATCACCCCTCTCAAGCTCAAAGTTCCCTATAACTCTAGGGCAGGAGCAAAATGCTCCCAGTCTCTTTGCTAAAATATAATGAGTCACTTTTGTTCGGGCTCCCAACAAGTTGCTCATCTCTATCTGAGACCATCTCAGCTTGGATTTCATTCTCTACATCATTATCAGCATCTTGGTCAAAGCTATTCAAGTCTCTAGGAAGTCCCAAACTTTCCCACATTTTCCTGTCTTCTGAGCTCTCAAACTGTTGCAACCTCTGCCTGTTACCCAGTTCCAAAGTTGCTTCCACATTTTCACGTGTCTTTTCAGCAGCACCCCACTCTACTGGTACCAATTCACTGTATTAATTTGTTTTTATACTGCTGATAAAGTCATGCCAGAGAATGGATAATTTATACAGGAAAAAGAGTTTAATGGACTTAGAGTTCCACGTAGCTAGGGAAGCTTCACAATCATGCTGGAAGGCAAGGAAGAGCAAGTCACGTCTTACATGGATGGCAGCAGACAGAGAGCTTGTGTGGGGAAACTCCCCCTTACAAAGCCATCAGATTTTGTGAAACTTATTCACTATCATGAGAACAGCACGGGAAATACCTGACCCCATGATCCAGTTACCTCCCACTGGGTCCTTCCTACAACATGTGGGAATTCATGATGATATTTGGGTGAGGGCACAGCCAAACCATATCAGTAGGTATAAGTAAAATAGGTGAAGGGTGGAGATCAATCAGAGGAAAGCACACCAAATAGGAGGACAAGTTCTCAATCCACTGCAAGGATTTGATTTGTAGTTTGGCTTTCAGGCCTTTAACTGTCTTCAGCTTGGAAGTGGGGTTTCACTGGGTACCCACCCCTATCTGCCTAGGAGTTTGGCTCTGCTTCCTGTCACTGTCATATGCACTTCTCTGTGGTTTCCAAAACCTGACACAGGGAAGAAATACAATACAGGTATCTGATTTATAGCAATCTGTTATAAATTATTGAATGAATATCATATTTTAAATTCATACCTGATAGATATTTTGCACATTTCTTGATTTACTTCTAAAATAAGTGGATTTCTCTTCTTTCCAAATGTAAATCAAATTTCGCCTAACTTCATATGAAACACGGGAAGTTTTTCTCCCTTTTGTCAGAATTTTTAAATGTATTTATATTTTAATCTGAAGAAACTAGCTTTCTCAAGGATGGATAGAGTTTGAAAATGATAGACATGATTCAGTTTTCTAACTCTAATGCTATGCTAGTTTTCATAGAGTTTATGATTAACATAAATGTAGCAATATACATGATTTTCCGTTAGGGAAAAATCTCTGTTTATTCTTAATGTTGTAAATCACAAGTCAATAAACACTTATGAGTGTCTTCTATATATGTAGAAATGTACTAGGTTTCATGGGTAAAAGTGACAAATAAGGCAAGGCGTCTGTTTTTTCATCCAATGGAAATGGCTCACAATCACATTTCAAAAAAGATCAGTGAACTGTATATAACTACCTATGTCTTAATATGAACAAATTGTGATTCATTGGTTCATATAACAGCTGCAATTCCTAATACCTAACATCAAATCTTTTTTGCTATGTGTGGTGTTAGCCACATAAATTCTCACTATTGATTCAATAATGAGTTTTTTGGCTTTTAATTGTGTGTCATTTTTTTGTTGTTTACAGACATGATAATTTTACGTAGTTCTGCCTTGGTGTCTACCTCAATTATCAGAGTCTTAAAGAGATTATAGCAACTGGGAACCCTAAAAGCCTTCAGCAAATCTTGGCTTTAGCCAGGATCCTCAAATAATGTCCAAACGTGTTAAGAACTTGAAATATTGAACATTTCCACTTCATTTCCATTCATTCTTTCCATTTCCTTAGGAAAATTCTAATAAGAAATGTAATTCTTAGGAGCAGAGAGCAGGGGAAGAAAACAGGATAATTTATAAACTGTTTAATAACCTTGTGAGCAATTGAATGTTGACCATATAAATTCTGGATAATATCATTATTGTACTCAGGTTGGCTGTTAAAAAGTCATAAAGGAAAGAATTTTAGGCATCTATTTCTAGATAACTATTAAAATGGTGATCTTATCATTGCATACCATTTAGCTGGGGAGACAGAATTGTATTTAATGAAATGACTCATTTGTTGTATTGGATTCCTGCCAAATTATTTCATGGTTTGTCAAATGATAATTTCACAAGTGTCAGTGACAAGATGTTGGACATTAGTTTTCTCTTTTCCTATCTGCTGAGTCACAGTTCTCAAGGGATGGATATTATAGTGATTCAATCACACCTTAGATTTTGGCTTACATTTACTAATCAGTCTAGTAAATTTGGTAGGGGGGAAATCGTGCCATAGCATATAAAATAATGAGTTCCATTTCCTCCCCACATTGGCTTCTATTTTTTGGGTTCTGTATGTACCTAGGACCTAATGGGGCACTTGCCACGTAGGTCCCCAATGGGAGAAAAGGTTCTGTTAATTACTCCATCACATTAAACAGTCCAGTTAGTACCCATAGAGGTGAGGAAGAATGTGCTTATGTTTTATGCTTCAGGCAAAGTAGCTAATCAGAGAGCTGTGAACAATTGTAAGGAAGTGACTTGCTGCCTGGTTCTCTGCAATGACTGATGACACAGTCTTTTTACATCACAGAATGTGTAAAATTTGTTCACATGTATAAGCTCTTGTTACTTTGAGAGGGCAATTCTGGGATAATTTGGTTGCCATATTATACTTAGTCAATCCCTATGTATTGATAATCTGTTTTAATTTGCATGTTGATATACTTACTGACTTACCTAATACCATCATTTATGGTTTGAGATATCATTCTTAATTTCCCTTTAATAATACATGTAATGCATGGGTTTACCTAGCCCTAAGACTCATTTCAAAATATATTTTCTGAAGTTCTGTAGATGTAATTATTAAAATCACAAACTTTCAAACTGGACTCATACCCCAGCTGGCTATGGTACTTAATGAAAATTAAACTTTTTGCTCCTCAGTTTTCTTATCTGTATAACAGGATTAAATGCCCCACCCTCGCAGTTTTCCTTTTTTCTTTTTCTTTTCTTTTCTTTTCTTTTTTTTTTTTTTGAGACGGAGTCTTGTTCTGTCACCCAGTCTGGAGAGTGCAGTGGCATGATCTTGGCTCACTGCTACCGCTGCCTCCCGGGTTCAAGCAATTCTCCTGCCTCAGCCTCCCCGAGTAGCTGGGACTACAGGCATCCGCAACCACACCTGGCTAATTCGTGTATTTTTAGTAGAAACGGGGTTTTGCCATGTTGGCCAGGCTGGTCTCGTACTTCTGTCCTCAGGTGATCTGCCTGCCTCAGCCTCCCAAAGTGCTGGGATTACAGGTGTAAGCCACCACACCTGGCCTACACTTTTTCTTTAAGGATAAAAGGGAAATACGTGTATTACCATTGTGCTTGTCATATAGTAAGTACCAAATAAAGAGTAGCTTCTACCATTATTAAAAGCTATCCTGGCTTTTTTACTATTATTAAAAGTTATTCAAAGCCTACATATAGAAGGCATAGCTATATGCCTTTGTGTCACATGAATAGTCAACTTTTCTAATTTTTTCTGTGGCTGTGCTTTGCTCTCAAAGTGTGGCCTGCATCAGAGTCATCAGGGAAGGTGGTGGTTAAAACGGATTCCTCCCCGGCATGTTGGCTCACACCTGTAGTCCCAGCACTTTGGGAGGCCAAGGCAGGCAGATCCCTTCAGCCCAGGAGTTCCAGACAAGACTGAGAAACACAGCAAAAAATACTTAAAAAAAAAATTAGCGAGGTGTGGTAGTGCAAACCTGTAGTCCTAACTATTCGGGACGCTGAGGCGGGAGGATCAGGATTGCTTAAACACAGGAGTTTGATGCTACAGTGAGTGCATGATCATGCCACTGCACTCGAGCCTGGACAACAGAGTGAGATCTTGTTTCAAATACAGTAAGTAAGTAAATAAATAAACCCAGCAAAACACAGATCCCTAGGTCTCACTCTCACGCTTGATTGAGTATGTCTAAGGATGTGGGCAAGATTCTGCAGCCACAACTGTCTCCCAGGTGAGGCTGATGGTACTCGTTCTCCAACTAAAGTTTGAGTAGCTTTGCCCTGGAGTAGCTGTCCCAAACAGGTTAATCCTCAGAATTGCCTGGGAAGATTTAAAATATATTTCCCAAACATAACTGAATCAAAATTTGAGGAGACATTGTAAAAAATCCATTTGAAAATTGTTGCGCAAATTAGAGGTTCTCAAACTTGAGTGCACATCAGAATTTTCTGGAGGCCTTGTTAAAACAGATTGTTGAGATACGGAATCAACCTAAGTGTCCATTAACAGATAAATGAATTTAAAAATATGGCATATAAACACAATGGAATATTATTCAGCCATAAAAAGAATGAAATCCTGTAATTGGTGGTAACATGGATGAGCCTGGATACTGTTAAGTGAAATAAGTCGGGCACGAAGAGATAAATATCACAAGTTTTCATATGTTAGAGCTAAAAAGTTTGATTTCATAGAAGCAGGCAGTAGAATAGTGGTTAGCAGAAGCCGGGGAGGGTAAGAGGGAGGAGAGGGAGGAAAGGGACAAGCTAGTTAACAGATACAAAATGATAAGCTAAATAGGACGGATATGTACTAGTGTTCTAAAGCACTGTAAGGTAACTTCAGTTAACAGTAATTTATTGTGCATGTTTAAATAGCTAGAAGAGAGGATTTTGAAACTTCCCAACACAAAGAAATGACAAATATTTGAGGTAATGGATATGATAATTAGCCTGATTTGATTATTACATGTTATATTCATATAGGAAAATATCACTCTGTACCTCCTAAATATGCATAATTATGTGTCGATTAAACATTAAAAAGAAAACACAGATTTCTGGGTCTCACTCCCTGAGATACTAACCAAGTAAGTCTGGGAGAGTCCTGAAATTCGGTATTTCTAAAAAGGTCCCAGGTGACGCTGATGCTGGTCTGGATCCACACTTTGAGAACCATAGCCTGCCCTAGACCACTGCTTCTTAACTCATTTTAAAATTAAGGATCTGTGTGAGATTCTGCTGGATGGTGTAGATTTTCTTGAAAAATAAAAAACGTGAACATAGTTTCCATATACTTTCCAGTGTTCATGGATCCCTTGAAGTATGTCTATGATTCTTGTATGAAAGCTTGACTCCAGATAGAACGTCTTTGAGTAACATATCCCAGGTTAGGAATGGAATTCTCTGGGGCTATTTGCAAATCTGTCTAAACATGGGAATATGCCAGTAACATTTTACTCCATTACCCAGAGAACAGGACCAAGTCATGTTATTACCTGTAGAATGATAAGAGACTTTCAATTCTAAGAATTATGGCTTATTTTTACAACTTGTTGGAATATGATTTGCAGATTTGGTGAAAATGGTAGTTACTTCCACAAAGATGTTTAACAATTTAAAAGTTCTAGAAGTTTGTGTTTCCTACTGGCTTTATTCTTTATTTTTACTCTTCAAATCTAGCTGTTCGCTGTCTTTTTCCTGAAACATTTTTATTAAGGAAAATACAGAATTTTGCAGCTTATCAGTTTAAACAGAAAACATCCCTGAAAAGTCTTCGACTATATGACTACATTACTTATACAAATCGTGATCATAGTGAAACTGAATTACTTTGTAAATAACCATGATTCATTACTATAAGCAGGGTTTTGAAATTATGACTACCTCGAGAAAACTTTTATTAAGAATAAAAAAGCAACTATCTCAGCTGGACCAATAATAGAAACACCAGTATATTCACTCGCTTTTTATTTCTCAAAGCACATTTGTGGCTTGTAGCCAAGAATTCATTGCATTGAAGGAGTGTTTGACAAGCAGTATTGAAGCTGTAAACACTTTGAACTCATTACAGTGTCTCACCATAGGAACTTAACTGTCACTGAAGACACCCTGTCTGTGAAACCATCATTCCTACAATTATTTTTACCTTTGCCTGAAAATATGCTTTTGTGCTTTAAGGTATTTCAAAAGACAAGAGAAAGATGGAAGCTAAGGAGGCTATAGGGATTTCCTGAGTTCTGTGAGTGCTGTGTTGATACAGAACAAGATCAGAAACTTGGATATATATGTTTCAACTTAAAATGCTGATTGATCATCATGACAATAGTTTTATAGAGCATTTGTATGGGGGTGAATGTTTGAAGTTATAAAAAGCATTGTAATGTTACTCATTCATGGGCTGAACAAACATTTCCTCTTTCTCTTTCTCTGGCTTTCTTGCCAATTACTTTTTTCTTGCCAATTACTTTTTTCTTGCCAAAAACAACTGAGATCACCCCCTTAAGTCCATTTTGAAACAAACTTAGCAAGGAGTGGTTGTTAGTCTGCAATAACAATCTACATCTCAAACTCACATCCTTACAGTTGTTGTGTAGGTATCATAGCTGCGTGAAACAGTGAAGTGTAAGATTGTGTCTACAGTGGTCTGGAAAATTTGACTCATAATCACATGTAGAATACAGTCCTTTAAGAACTCTCCCACCCCGCATCACTGCCCTGAAGATAATGAGCCAATGATCCTGATGGTAATCTCTTCTAAAATCATACGTATTTGAGAAAAATTGTATCTTTTCGGAGACTGGTAATAGTCCAGATGAAAAGTGTTTATATCCTGAACCTAGAGTATTGACAAAGCAGATGAAGAGGATTGATTGGGATGGAGAAGATTCATTGATGGGACTTAAGGAATGACTAGATATGACAGGATAGGGAGGTGAAGTATGCTAGGATGATCTGTATGATAATGTCTTACACAAGTGAACAGAAGTCCAGTTTAAATAACGAGGTTTGGAGGGAGGGAGTAAAGAAGATGGATTTCATTTTTCTTAGGTCTAATTTAATGTGCTTTTGGTAAAATGTCTACTAGGCCACCATGTATATGAATCTGAACCTTAAAAAGGAGGTTTGAGCAGATAGGTGCACAGTTTTTAATCATTAGCATATTTAACAGTTGAAACCATGAGAGAATATGCCTTATGAGAAGAAGACACCAAGATCACACAATGCTAGGAAGACCAAAAAGGTTGTGGCAGAGAGGTGGGAGGGTTGATCATGAGAGGAATAATTAAGTACTAAATTCCACTGAAAACATTAAGTAAGATGTGGGTTAAAATAGTTTATTAGATTTGGCAAATTGGAAGTTTTGATAATATTCAAAAGAGCAACTTTGGAGGAATGGCAAAAAAAAAAAAAATTGTAAGAATGGTTATCCTTCCTAGAAGATGGTTGCAGAAATGATTCAGAAATAGCTTGTAAGTAGAGGGTAACTGAAAAGCCCTGAGTGTGCTTACTAGCTGGTGAGAGAGGGTTTAAAGATGAATATGTGTTCCTTAAATCCATTTTGTGTGTTTATGAGGACAGGGTAAATAGTCTAGCTAAATCACCACACCCTGCCCTGTGCCTAGCATAGTTTCTATATATTTATTAGGCACCAAATATTTTAGGTATATATTTTTTTATGTAAAATATATAGGGAACTGTGTGAGGCCCTGGAAGAAACACAATGTCTATTTTCATTGAAAAAGAGCTACATTGGAGAGACTAACCACCCATCACTCAATACTATTTTATTTAGTTGTATAAGTAATGGGTGCTATGGCAGTTTATGACAGACAGACCTGCCCTTATCTTGGGGGAACCACAGAATGCTTTACAGAGGAAGCCATTTTTAATGTTCTACTGAGAGCAAAATAGAACTTCCTCCCATTCCTCACCCACTGAACACATTCCACAGAGTTAAAAACTCTGCTTTCCTTCCACGGTCACTTTTCTTGGCATTCAGAAATTATTGGAAACTGTAACTATGGGTTCAGTGCCAACAACATTCTAACACTCATGGTTAGAATCCTAACCAGAAAGAGTACAAATAAGGGTCCTTTCTTTTTTGATTTTGGCTCAGATATCGATGTTACTAATAATGATAATAAAATAATAGTTTAAATTTACCCTGTCTTTATGATTTTCAGAATACTTCCCCCTTCTAGTTTATTTGGGATGAGATGCTAGGGAATATGAGTAGGAAAATGATAAAGTGAGACAAAGAAGGAAGGAAAGTCAATGAAGACTACATTTCAAGAGTTTAAACTGTGGTGGACAACTGGCGCTCAATTTGACTGGGGACTTGAAGAAAATTATGTGGAACACACACCTCAGACTTATCCTTTGAAGAGATGAGAATGCTAAGGTATTTATACACCAACTCCTGCTGGTCATCTGTTGGCAGATCCCGGGAGGGGCTGTGCATTCACTCCCTAGCATTTTTGATCTATTGCATGCACTCCGGAAGAACAGACTCCAGTAGGCAAAGAGATGCAGGAGCTGGCAGGTGGAAGTTGGAACAATGTCCACTGAAATGCGAAGGACTCAGAGGAAGAGACAGGGTATCATCAGCACCAGCCTAATGGGGTTTGAATCTCCATTTTGCCATTTACTAGCAGTGTGATCTCTGGCAACTTACTTATCCTCTCTTGGCCTTCGTTTCTTCATCTGTAAAATGGGGATCATAATAGTATCTACATCGTAGGATTGCAGTGAGGATTAAATAAATTATTCATGTAACAATTTTACAGAAGAGAACATGAAAATTTCGAAAAGATTACTTACTTGTCAAATATCACACATATGGGAAGCAGGCCAAAGCCTTGATTCTTGGCCCCAGCCTTTTTCCTTATACCTACTGCCCAATGTCTGTGTTGCCTTGTATCTTCATAATTTACTTCCCATTTTCTCATTGCTTAGGTCTCATTCCTGATTCTTTTGTCCCATTTACTCTCCTCTAAACCCTTGTGATTGTCCAGATGAGCTTTAGCTTGGGTGTCTGTGTATCCCTTCTGAATATTTCATGCTTCGGCCTTGCCCAGCAGCTTAAACTTACACTATTAACTCCCGGTCTTCTCTACCTCGCATTTTTCCTCTTACCTATGAGGCATCTTGACCTATAATATTTTCACTTCCACCAGCTGAGTCTATCTGTGGCACATGATTACTTGTCTGATTCCTTGTTCTCATGGAATCCTTAGGCTTCTCTGATGTATTTTATCCTATTGGCATTCACATCCCAGTGGGCACGAAGAATATTTAATAAAAACATTGGCTTTATTTTAGAACGGAATAAACACATCATTCTTTCCTCCTAAAAATAAAAGACATATTAGTTGGATTGTGTCATTACTGTAGAGTGATACAAGCCAGAAGATGCAGTGACAATATCAGAATGGTGTGTTATCTGTTACCAAAGGGAATGGGTGGTAGCTGTGTAACCAGGTCATCATAGTGGCATGACCATAGCCAAGTGTACGGCACCATAGTCAAGGGCACTGAACAGGTCATTAGTTGGGATTGAGTCAAGAGTTGGACCATTTGACATGGAACACACATTCTAAAAATATATTAAGTTGGTGCAAAAGTAATCACGGTTTTTGCCATTACTTTCAATGGCAAGAAAATGCAATTACTGTTGCACCAATCTAATAGTAACATAAACATCAAGCGGCTTCAACTTTTGCCTAACAAGTTTATTTAAAAGGTTCTAGGCTAGTCATGTTTAAAATGGAACAGCTTTATTGAGATATAATTTATATGCCATACAATCATCTGTTTAAAGTATACAACTCAATGTTTTTAGTATATTCACAGGACTATGCAACCAAATATTGTGTTGGTATTATACCAATTAGAGATATGACAAAAGCTTTGGACCCTCTCATGCACATTTGTACAAACACAAAAGAATTTGCATATGATACCAGAAAATTCATGGACTTCTCTGAAGTCCATTTATATGCCCAGAAGTACTACTCGTTCAGCCAAACTCTATCTTAAGGCAGCTATTAATTCTGTTTGTACAATCCAGCAGACAGATAAGGTTGTTGATCGTCTTATGGACTCATGGATATCACCTTAACGACAACAATATATGTGCCAAGTCTGGCTCCTAAAGTTTTAGGATTTTGTGTTTAAAAAGGGGGAGAAAAGCTTTAGTATGTTTCGAATCCTAACTGACAGTGAGTGACAAAGGTTTGAAAAAATATATTGCAGATGTGTGAACATCTGGAGGCTAATTGTACATGTTTAGGTACTCCATAATCTCATGAAAACTTTTGACCTAGAAATGTCAGCGCTGTTGCCCTCTCAAAGAGTCATGATTCTTTATCACATCGCTTTATTGTAAAATGGAAGTACATTTAGTGGCAATATCCGTGTGATTAGCTATGTCCAGTCATCAGATTTTTCTTGCGTTATTATGATTATTACAGATTCTATTACACTATGACATTGAGCATAAATCACCAGCCTCCTTCTCGGCACATACAAGAGTCACTTATTTTCTAAAGGTTACCAAATATACTAACTTGTTTAAACAAACGTACACACACACCTTCCTATATCTGGGTAGGTACAGACTCAGATAAATCTTCATACAACAGCATGCTATAATGAAAAGAACTTAAGTTTTAGAGTCATAAATAACTTGATTTGAATCCATGAGTATATATTTACTTACTGTATAATCTAGGGCATGTTATGTAAACACTTGAGAATTCAATGCCAACCTTGGGATAACAAATTTTACCCAGCAAGTCTATGAGAAAGATCATAGAAATAACGCATGGGAAGTACTTAAAACAGTGTCCTACACATGGATACAGATCAAGAGGTAGTAAATACACTCACAAAATGGTCTAATTAAGAAAGTCTTCCATGAGTTTATGCCCTCCAAAAGATGAGATTCGAGGCCAATTTTGTGTCATAAACTTTATGCTTTTATAATATTCATTTCTATTTTATGATTATATAATGCTTAAATAATAATATAGTAAATATTCATGTAAAATTCTTACACCGAAAGATAAATATTGTTAATATGTTGGTGGTCATTAACTTCTCCTTCTCTCTGTTCTTTCTCCTCTCTTATTTATGTGACAATATATGATCCTTTTTTCTGAGGTTTAATAGTGATTCCCATGTTTTCCTCTTCCATAGATACCATAAATCTGTTGATACACATGTTCTCTTTACCATGAAATAGATCCCTTCTCTGTACCATGGCCCCTATAAATCAGGATACACTACATTATGCATCTATAAGAATAATTCTGATATCTCAGCGACTCAAAAGAATAGAATTTTCTTCCCGCCAAACTTCATGTCACTATAGATTGGTAGGCGTCTCAACTCATTGTACTCAGCTGAAGGACCTGGGCTGAGAGAAGGGTCATCTCAATATAAACTTTAAGAACGCAAGAGAACATGTGAAAGCACACGATAACCCGTAAAGCTTCTGCTTGGAAATGGCGCACATCACTTCTGTTCACATTTAATTTGATGAAGTAAGTCACATGGCCATATCAAAGTACAAGTAGGCAGAGTAAAAGATACTATCAGGAGCCTGGAATAAAAGAATGGAACTTTGGTGAATAGACTTAATGGCAACCACATCCCTTAAAACAAGGGTTCTCAAACTTGAACATGCATCAGAATAACCTAGAGGTTTGTTAAAACAGGGAGTGTTGGGATCCACCCCCTGAGTTTCTCATCCTGTAGGTCTAGAGTACAGCCAGAGCGGTTGCACTTCTCACAAATTCCCAGTTGCTGTTGATTCTGATGTCTGAGAACCACACTATGAGAACTGCTGCCCTAAAGTATAAAAGCTCTTCTCTTAAGATTCCACAATGGAAAACACTTCAACAGTGGTACTTTCGACTGTCCATGGTCACATTTCAACCACATACTTCTCAAGTTTCCAAATTTATCTCAATCTCCAACCACTGGTCTGTTAATAATTTCCCAAAATTGCTGTATTATTTCTTTTCCTCTGGTGGAATTTAATTAAAATATCTTTCCTACAAACCTTTTCCAAATCATTCTAACTAGAAGTATTGCCTATACCTTTTCCATAGTAGTATACACCTTTCCAAAGTGATCACATGCTTTGTATTATGGTAATCTTACACTTGTGTTTTTCTCAGTTTCATGAACTGTTTTCAAGCGCACTCATAGAAATTTACCCAAAATGAATACTAAAACACTTAATTTTTTATTCCTGATTTTGCCACATTAGGGTAAAAGACTTGGCCACATGTTCTAAATTTAAATCACTACTCTTGTCTCAGAAGCCATGTGAACAGTAGGGAGGACAGCATAGGTTCTGGAGCTGGACTGCCTGGGTCAAAACTAACCTTGCCACTTTTTAGCTGTGTAAACTTGTGCAAATTTCTTAAGATCCCTGAGCCTTTTCCTCATCTAGAAAATGAAAGTGAGAATTGTATTCATACCATAGGACTGTTACAAGAATTAAATGAATTAGTTGATTTGAAACATTTAGTGCAGGACTTGGCAAGTTTTGAGCCATTATAACCATTATAATTGCAAAACATCCTGAAGTTATTCTCTATGCCTGAAGTTACATTTTCTTAATATCCATTTTCTCCTTAATCCCTTAAAAGCTGTCTTCTGCCTCATTTATTCTATCA